>NC_000005.10:83443140-83746170 GCF_000001405.40 Homo sapiens | reverse complement strand
AGAAGATTCAAACGACTAAATTCAGTATGAGAGAATTATTAGCCTTACAGAAATAAAAGGAATTATGAAAGAATACTGACTAATATGGCAACAACTTAGATAATTTAAGTGTATAAATTCCTGGTAAGACAAAAATTACTGAAACTTACTCAAGAAGTAGGAGATCAGACTCAATCTATAGGAATTTAAATGACTAATTTTAACACTTTCCACAAAGAAAATCATAAGCCTGGATGGCCTCACTGGCAAATTCCTCCAAACATGTGAAGAAGAATTAATAAAAATCAAACCCTCTTCCAAAAAATAGAAGAGGAGGAAACACTTTCAAATGCATTCTGAGGCCCGTATTATTATCATACTAAGACCACGTAAAGACCTCATAAGAATAGAAACTACATGACAATGCCTCTTATAAAGATAGGCATAAAAATTCTCAACATAATACACGCAAACTGAATCCAACAACATATGCAACAGATTTTGCACTGTGACCAAGTGGGATTTATCCTAGGAATGAAAGGTAGCCTTAACACCAAAAAGCAATTAATGTAACATAACATATCAATAGATTAAACAAAGAAACTATATGATCATTTCAATCAATTCAGAAAAATCATTTGACAAATTCCAATGCCCTTTTTATATAAAACAAACTCTCAACATGATAAAAGAAACACTCAAAAAACTAGGAATAGAAGGGAACTTCCTCAATCCGATAAAGAGCATCTACAGAAATCCCAAAGCTAACCTCAGATTTAATGGTGAAAGACTAGAAAATTTCCCCTTAAGTTCAGGAAGAAGACAAGTATGTCCACTCTTGTCACCTCTACTCAACATTGTACTAGAGGGTCTAGTCAGGGAAATTAGGCAAGAAAAAGAAATAAGACACATTCAAATTGGAAAGGAAAAAGTATAACTATCTCGACTAGCAGATGACATAATATTGTATTTAAAGAATAGTTGCCAAGCTCATTCTTGTTGTTGGCATAATATAGTTCCTGGCAGTTGTAGAGAGGTTCCTGTTTTCTTGCAGGATTTCATCCAGAGACTGTTTTTACCTTCTAGAGGCCTCCCTCATTTCTTGCCGTGGGGCCCCTTCCTTTTTCAAGGCAACAACAGCACATCAAATCTTTTTCATGCTTTGAATTTCTTGACTTCCTCTTGCATGACAAGCTGGGAGAAACCTTCTGCTTCAAAAAAGGCTCATGTGATTAGGTCAGGCCTAACAAGGTAATTTCTCTATTTTAAGGTCAACTGATTTGGAACTTTAATAACATCTGCAAAATTCCTTCACAGCATGGAAGGAATTTTGGACCATGAGACAAACCCCAGTACATTTGCTGGAACTGAAATGTAAGGCAGTACCTAGATTCATGGTTGCTTGACTAACTGGGAGAAGGTGTGTGTACACCAAGGACCAGGAATCTGAGGAGGTGACCATCTTAAAATTCTTCCTGGCACATTAGACTTTCAACAAACTGTCTAAAGTGTTAGAGCATTTGTAAATGTGTGTTCAAAAAATTTATCAGTACAAGAACAGAGAAAATGAATGCCAAGCTGCATCGTGGATATGCAAAGATGAAGAGTTGATCATTGCTATAGTACAGTACATAATGTGTAATGTTAGAGTATGGTACAAACAGAAGGTGGCTAGAATATAGTGTGACGTGGAAAACAAGCGAAGGAGCACAGAAAGGTAAAGACCAGACTTTTATGCCATATTAAAGAGAGTAAGCTTTATTCTGCTGGCAATGGGCAGCCGAGAAACAACACAGATCATTTCCTTGTACACAGATTACTCTGATAAGAAGAATCCACCCGGTGCGGCGGCTCACACCTGTAATCCCAGCACTTTAGGAGGCCTGGGGGGGCGGATCACAAGGTCAGGAGTTCGAGACCAGCCTGGCCAATATGGTGAAACCCCATCTCTACTAAAAATACAAAATTAGCTGGGTGTGGTGGTGCACGCCTGTAGTTCCAGCTACTCGGGAGGCTGTTGCAGAAGGATCACTTGAACCCAGGAGGCAGAGTTTACAGTGAGCCAAGATCGTACCACTGCACTCTAGCCTGGGCCACAGAGTGAGACTCCGTCTCAAAAAAAAAAAAAAAAAAGAGTAAGGAAGAATGGATGCTGAAGCCTGGCTGCCTGGGTTTACATCATGCCTCTGTTCATTACTAGCTCTGTGATCTTAAGTAACGAGTTACTTAACCTCTCTGCACCACAAAGTCTTATCTATAAAAAGCATACAATAAGATTACCTACTTTATGGGGTTGTCTTGGGGATTAAATGAGTTGATAGGTAAAGCACTTAGAACAGAGGCCCATACAGAAATGCTACTTAAGGGTCTGCTATAATCATCATCATTGAAAGAGTAAGACTGGAAAATTGAGAGCATTTAGAAAGCTTTTGAAATAATAAATACATGATGAAGGCAGCAGCAGTAAAGACTGAAGCACCTAGCACAGATTGAGAAATACTAGGAAATAAATTTGACTGGACTTCGATATGGGGAAGATGCAATA
Organism: Homo sapiens; assembly: GCF_000001405.40. NCBI lineage: Eukaryota > Metazoa > Chordata > Mammalia > Primates > Hominidae > Homo > Homo sapiens. The sequence goes on along the minus strand of NC_000005.10, from coordinate 83,743,646 downwards.
GCAGTTGAAAATGATTCTTAGGCTTTCTGGTTGAAGTGAATGGGCAGATGGTGATTTCATAAGCCAAAGCAGAAAAAAAGAAGAACACATTTGTGATGGCGGTGGTTTGGGTGAAGATGTCCTCCTTGGACATACGGACAGATAGATGTCTGAAAATAAAAGGCTGAAATCTGAAGATCCAGCTTTAGGAGTGATTGACCTATAGATGGTAGATAAATGAGATCATCCAAAAAGAATATGGAAAAAGCAAAGAGAAACAGACCAAGGATCAAACCTTAGAAAGCATTAAAGGGATGGCAGAAGAGGGAAAACCTGCAAAAGAGACAAAGAAACGGCAGTCAGAGATTTATAACAAGGAGAGAATATCCTCATGAAAGCAAATAGAATAAATAATTTTAAAAACATATAATGTGATCCTTAGTACCAAAGCCTACAAATATGGACTGAAGAGTACCCATTGGTTTAGAGTTGACACTATAGATGCCATTAATATCCCCCATGAGAACAGTAAAGTGGATGAGGCAGCAGCCAGGCTGCAGCGGCTGAACATTAAAAGGGTACTGCTGAATGAAAGAAGCTACTGTAAGATTCTAGAGCAATATCTGGGAACGGTGATAGAATTTGGACCAAAAAACATATAAAGAAAGAGGTCTGTCTTAATGTGCAAGAAGGAAGCTCAAAAGCTGGGTATTTAATTAGTTCTGCCCAGCATAGCTTGTCTGTTAAGTAAATTATCTGGCACGTAGTACTTAAAATTCTCCACAATTATAGTTCAAAGAATTTCTCTAATAACGTAGCGTTAACTTCATGTGAAACATAAACTACTTATGATTCAAATCTTCTAGGAGAGAAATAGGCTCAATAAAATGTCACTTTTGTTATAGATCAAAGGTTTCCTTTTATAACATATTTGTGCCAGTGAGACAGATATCTCTTACTACAATTGGGAGCCCTCAGGGATTTTGCTTTTGTATAATTACCCATAGTTTAACACCTAGAAGGGTGTTAAACTGGTGTCTCCAAAGACATCTTAAGAATTTCTGGGTCATCATTAACTCTAAGATCATTCCTGCTTGATCAAGCTTTTGGGGAGGAAAGGGGTGTTCCCCTGATGAATAACGGCTGATATTTATTGAGCAGTTTGTCAACACGGTATGGGTTATGCTCTCTTCATGCATTAGTTCATTTAACCGTCACATAACCCAGCAGTCAGGAGCCATTATTGACTTCATTTTTATAGCGGATTACAGTTCAATTTAGGGAGGTTAAATAACCTGCCTGAGGATACAACTAGGGGTGGGGAGTGCCCAGATTTGAATAGAAATAGCCACAATCTGTACACTATGGTTTGTTCACCCTGGATTCTCCTCCACATGCACACCATTCATCCATTCAGTGGAGGAAATGTTTGGTTAAGAAAACAAACAGATGGTGATGGTCAAAGGGTACAAAGTTTCAGTTATACAGGATAAATAAGTTCTGGAGAACTACAACAGAGCAAACGCCTATAGCTAACAATATCGTATTGTAAGTACTTAAAATTTGCTAAGGGGGTAAATCTTAATAAAAATAACAGAAATTGACTCAAGTTCTAAGTGACTCAAGAGCCTGAATACTTATTATGGGAATAACTCAAGTCTATTATTTCATTTTCTTCTTTCCTGATTGTGCCTTCTAGCCACTGCAGAACACATTTTCACCTTTGCCAAAGAGAAAAAGGAAAATAGAAAAGGTGAACTCAAAATAAGAAAGTCAGCTGTAAGTAAAATTATGAAACAAGCGAAATCTGTGCCACTCCCAGCTCCATTTTCCTTTGCTTCCTGGCTTAGGTAAATGAGCAGATGGTGATCCCATAAGCCAAAGCATCTCTTCTGACAAGGTCTCATTGCTTTGGCGGCCTTTGGGTTGCTAAGCAACTCTCCTTCCTCAACCCTATGTCTGTCCCACACATCACTGCTCATCAAATTCTAGCCCTGTCATCATATTCACTCTATAATCAAAACACATAGAATATATTAATTTTCCATGTTCCGTGGGATCTTATGTATTTCAGGGATATTTCATTTTTTCTTTTCTTTTTCTTAAACTTTGCACATATATTCTAATCACTGATATTGTTTATTCCCCTCCTCTCTTACTCTCCCTGAAAAAGTACCTCCTAATCCTTACCTGAAGCTAAACAAATCTTCTTACAGGTTTATAAGTTTTTTTTTCTCTCAAATAGACCATCCTGGCTAACATGGTGAAACCCCTTCCCTAGTAAAAATACAAAAAATTAGCCGGGAATGGTGGCGGACGCCTGTAATCCCAGCTACTTGGGAGGCTGAGGCAGGAGAATTGCTTGAACCCGAGAGGCGGAGGTTGCAGTGCGTAGAGATCACGCTACAGCACTCTAGCCTGGGCAACAGAGTGAGACTCCATCTCAGAAAAACAAAACAAAACAAAACAAAACACACACAAAAAAACTCTGCCTATTCAACAAAATAATAGCACATTGTATGTTATTTTACTAATGAAAAGGTTATCTTTCATATGGTAACCCCTAACTACAAGTACTGCCCCATAAAGGGTAAGTCATTTTCTTTTTACAACTACCAAAATAAGTAATCTTAAAATGCCCCCCTACCCCCGAGTCACATTTAACAACAACAACAACAAAACAGCTCCAGTGACAGGCATTTAAAATACTGTGGTAGCTAGGTGGGAGCTATTTTTGAACAGGCAGATCTCTTTCGGTTCCTCAAATTATACACTAATGTTGCCTCCTATTCTGTTTATAAGTAGGATCATCCCAGTACAAACTAACTCAATACAATTTCTTATTAATAGATTTGAAAGAATATTTGTGAGGAGAAGTGTGGAGAAAATGAAAACTCTTCTTTCTCAAGTTTCAATGCCATTCAAAGTTTCAATTAAGGATATTCTGGACAGAAATTCAATTTTAATGATGGGGTTTTACCTTTTAGATTATTTTTGGACTTTTAAAGTAAAACTTTATTTTTTAAACAATTGCCAAATATTGTCAACAACTTATCATGCCTCAAGCACCAAAGACAAAGCAGTGAATTAAAATGGATTTACTAGCTTAAGCTCTACCAGAGAAGACAAATATCAAAGCAACAGTAAAAATAGGCCCTGCACAGTGGCTCATGCCTGTAATCCCAACACTTTGGGAAGCTGATGTGGGCAGATCATTCGAGGCCAGGAGTTCTATACCAGCCTTGCCAACATGTCAAAACACCATCTCTACTAAAAATACAAAAATTAGCCAGGTGTAGTGGCGCATGCCTGTAATCCCAGCTACTGGGAAGCTGAGGTACAAGAATCACTTGAACCTGGAAGGCAGAGGTTGCAGTGAGCTGAGATCGTGCCACTGCACTCCAGCCTGGGCAACAGAGCAAGACTCTGTCTCAAAAAAAAAAAAAAAAAGAAAGAAATATAGCTTCAGTTGTTCTGTCATATACTCCCTAAATATTTTGAACTTCTTGACATTGTATTTGTATTCATTCCTTTTTTTTTTTTTTTTTTTTTTTGAGATAGAGTCTTGCTCTGTTGCACAGGCTGGAGTGCAGTGGTGAGATCTTGGCTCACTGCAACCTTCACCTCCCAGGTTCAAGCGATTCTCCTGCCTCAGCCTCCCAAGTAGCTGGGACTGCAGGCATACACCACCAAACACAGCTAATTTTTTTATTTTTAGTAGAGATAGGGTTTCACCATATTGGTCAGGCTGGTCTGGAACCCCTGACCTCGTGATCCACCCACTTCGTCCTCCCAAAGTGCTGGGATTACAGGCATGAGCCATCATGCCAGGCCAAAGCTATATTTCTTAAGAGGAAAAATGTAGTTATCATTACCTCAAAATCTATTACAGTTTCCACAGTGTATTATTTCTCATATGAAAAATACTATAAGAAAATAACAGAGTAAAAGATAATTGAGAATCTTTTCTAGTTCTTGTTTATCCCTAACTGTACTCCTAATTATAAAAAAATGACTAGAATGAGGTAGGTAGTGATCTTATGTATTAAAAATATAATAGCTTAATTCAGTTTAAAATATAATTTTGTAGAGACAAATTCAGAGACAGCATAAGCAAAAGTTTTTTACTATCTTGACAGGTTAAGTGGATGATTTTTCCCAAAAGCTAGTTCTTTAGTGCAAATAAAACCAGAAATGATTACAGTTCTTTTTGCCTATGTACTGGAAAACACTTCTTAGGAGGACAGAATCAAATGATGTCTGAGAAAAATAAAAAAAAAAATTTATCTGGCAAGGCAATTAAGATTCTAAAATTACTGCCCCATTGTAACTTTCTCTAGCATCTATGATTCATGGATATAAAACTTCCCTTGAAAGGACATGTGTTGTACTGAAAAGGAAGATATAAAGACTTCTATAGTGAATGATTTTACCAATATATAAAAGAATACACACACACATGTTTCAAGTTTAATTATTAACTTTGTCTCCAATGCATGACAAAGAATGAATAAAGCAAATAAGCCCATAATTTTTTATGAATATTTTGATACAGGAATATAAGCTAAATTGACTTAAAACATTAAGAGATTATTGTTTATTTTATTGATCCATTAATCGTGGCTACCCAATTCATGGTTTGAGGTAAAATTAACTTTCATTTTGGAATGAAAACAACAAAAACCTTACCCAAAACAGTCCTCTCATCAAAACACTAAACAGAAACAAAGCTTTAGTCTATCAAAGGATCAGGTATATACTCCTAATACACCGAATTATTTTACTTCAAAACTTTTATTTATACCCTCTGTTTCTGCTGAGCTATATAGAAACTAGGGAATATAGTAAAATATATTTTTAATGAAATAGCATGTATTAAAAGCTCAAATTAAAAGTGAAAACTCAGTAAGGCAATGGACACATTTAGGGTTTTTTTTAATATAAGATACTCCAGTTGAGGGAAGGAGCTTCTAAATTCTCTGCACACCAATAATAATATCCAAATGATAAAAAATACTCAAATAACACTAAACCTAATAGCTGCAAGAAGATCCACAGTCATCAAACCATAATACAGAAGTTTCAAGTATATTTTTTACTCTGCAAATATTTGTCTATCATTTTATAATTTTAGATACACAGGAATGAAGCAGAGTGACTGACTATGAAATTGGAGTACAACATTCCATTAGGCAGAGGCCTATTTACTTAAGAAAGTTTTCTGCATAGTAATTTAGGTAATCAAAAAATGTATTTTAGGAGTTGCCAGAGCCTGGTGAACAACTATATTGAATCAAGTTGATCTAAAGGTAGTTTCTTCTGCCTCCAAACAACTTAATTAATTCAAAGAGCAAAGAATGCTATTCTCAGATCAAATATAGTAAAGCAGTGTAGATTTTAACATCTAGGTCACAAAATCAAATACACATCTTGGGTTTTTTGAGCTCAGCTCTCCAGAAAGCCTTGTCAAAAAAGTTTTTGATAAAAGAAATGCTATATTCAGAGCTAAGACAGTATGAAATAGCCTTATGGGCATGTGGATGTAGACCCCTGCAAAGGGGAGGAAGGGTCAGCGAAGGCAACCAAGATGCTACCACAAAAGAGTGAGATTCAAGTAAGAACAGGATATTTAAAATGAAAAAAAAAAAAAAGAAGACACAGGTGTGAGAAACATTCTAGATATCCTTCTGGAGACAGGATTCTGACACAGCAATTCCTAAGTAATAGGATAGGTTAAGCATTTGCATGGTGAAGCATGAAGATGTTAAAAGGAGAAATTAAGAGGAAAGAAGGAACGACTAAAGGCCATAAAATGAGTCGAGTCCCAAATCAAAACATATTGCGATTTCTTATAGAAGATAAACCTGACTTTTTAATGATCACCATTCTCAGGTGCTGGAGAGGACATGGAGAAATAGGAACAATTTTACACTATTGGTGGGACTGTAAACTACTTCAACCATTGTGGAAGACAGTGTGGCGATTCCTCAGGGATCTAGAACTAGAAATACCATTTGACCCAGCCATCCCATTACTGGGTATATACCCAAAGGAATATAAATCATGCTGCTCTAAAGACACATGCACACGTATGTTTATTGTGGCACTACTCACAATAGCAAAGACTTGGAACCAACCCAAATGTCCAACAATGATAGACTGGATTAAGAAAATATGGCATATATACACCTGGAATACTAGGCAGCCATAGAAAATGATGAGTCCATGTCCTTTGTAGGGACATGGATGAAGCTGGAAACCATCATTCTCAGCAAACTATCGCAAGGACAAAAAACCAAACACCGCTTGTTCTCACTCATAGGTGGGAATTGAACAATGAGAACATTTGGACACAGGAAGGGGAACATCACACACCGGGGCCTGTTGTGTGGTGGGGGGAGGGGGGAGGGATAGCATTAGGAGATATACCTAATGTAAATGACAAGTTAATGGGTGCAGCACACCAACATGGCACATGTATCCATATGTAACAAACCTGCACGTTGTGCACATGTACCCTAGAACTTAAAGTATTTTATATATATATATATTTTCTATATATATATATTTTCTATATATATACATATATTTTCTCTCTCTCTCTCTCTCTCTCTCTCTCTCTCTCTATATATATATATATATATATATATATGATAAACCTGGACATCTGACTTGAAGTCACTTCCCAATTTCTTCATGCTAACATATATACTCTACGGTTTTAACATGATTCAGCTCAACAAATTTGTTTCTACCTCTACTTGAATAAAGCACTGTGCTTGGGATGAGTTGGGAAGCAGTGTTGGAAGATCTAAGAATGAATTAGATATGAACAAGCAATATGCTCCTAGTGTAATGAAACAGGCCAATAAATACCTAGCTAATCAATTGAACTATACTAAGTTCCATAATATAGATATAATGACCGCTTAGGTAAAAAAATTAACTCCTAGCTACATTCTAGAAGACACACATCAATTGAAACTGCATTCTAAGTTTTCCAACGTGAAGAAATGGGTGGCTGGGAAACTTCACAGACCTATCAGGATACCAGAGTGACTTTGGAACAATTCTTTAATCTCATTAGACTCAGTTACTTTATTAATCCTTTCCCACGCTGCTAATAAAGACATACCCAAGACTAGGTAATTTATAAAGGAAAAAGGTTTGATTGACTCACAGTTCCACATGGCTGGGGAGGCCTCACAATCATGGTGGAAGGAGAACGAGAAGCAAAGTTACATCTTACATTGTGGCAGGCAAGAGAGCATATGCAGGGGACTTCCCCCTCATAAAACCATCAGATCTCATGAGACTTATTCTCTACTGCAAGAACAGTATGGGGGAAACCACTCCCTTGATTCAATTATCTCCACCTGGTCCTACCCTTGACACATGGGAATTATTACAATTCAAGGTGAGATTTGGATGGGGACACAGCCAAACCATATCATTCCTCCCCTGGCCCCTTTCAAATCTCATGTCCTCACATTTCAAAACAAATCATGCCTTCTCAACAGTCCCCCAAAGTCTTAACTCATTTCAGCATTAACTCAAAAGTCCACAGTCCAAAGTCTCATCTGAGACAAGGCAAATCCTTTCCATCTAGAAGCCTGTAAAATCACAAGCAAGTTAATTACTTCCTAGATACAACAGGGGTACAGGCATTGGGTAAATACACCCATTCCAAATGGGAGAAATTGCCCAGAATGAAGGAGCTACAGGCCTCATGCAAGTCAGAAATCCAGAGGGGCAGCCAAATCTTAAAGCTCTGAAATGATCTCCTTTGACTCCATGTCCCACATGCAGGTCACACTGATGCAAGAGGTGGGATCCCATGGCCTTGGGCAGCTCTGTCCCTATGGCTTTGCAGGGGTACAGCCTCTGCCTGGCTGCTTTCATGGGCTAATGTTGAATGTCTGCGGGTTTTCTAGGTCCACAGTGAAAGCCATCAGTAGATCGACCAGTCTGGGGTCTGGAGGTCAGAAGCCATCTTCTCACAGCTCCACTAGGCAGTGCACCAGTGGCGGCTCTGTGGGGGTGCTCCAATTCCACATTTCCCTTCTGCACTGCCTTAGCAGAGGTTCTCCATGAGGGCCCCGCCCCTGCAGCAAAATACTACGTGGACATCCAGGTGTTTCCATACATTCTCTGAAATCTAGGTGGAGGTTCCCAAACCTGAATTATTGACTTCTGTGAACCCACAGGCTCAATACCACATGGTAGCTGCCAAGACTTGGGGCTTGCACCCTCTGAAGCCACAGTCTGAGCTGTACCTTGGCCCCTTTTAGCCACAGTTGGAGCTGCTAGAAAGCAGGAAACCAAGTCCCTAGGCTGCACACAGAAGGAGGGGCCTAGATCTGGCCCAGGAAACTATTTTTTCCCTCCTAGACCTGTGATACAAGGGGCTGCCTTGAAGGTCTCTGACATGCCCTGGAGACATTTTCCCCATTGTCTTGGAGATTAACATTAGGCTGCTTGTTATCTATGCAAATCTCTTCAGCAGGCTTGAATTTCTCCCCAGAAAATGGGTTTTTCTTTTCTATTGCATCACCAGGCTGCAAATTTCCCAAACTTTTATGTTCTGCTTCCTCTTCAATGCTTTGCCTCTTAGAAATATTTTCCGCTAGATACCCTGAATTATCTCTCTCAAGTTCAAAGTTCCACAGATCTCTCAGTTCCACAGACTGGAGCAAAATGCTGCCAGTCTCTTTGCATAGCAAGAGTGACCTTTACTCTAGTTCCCAATAAGTTCCTCATCTCCATCTGAGACCACCTCAGCCTGGACTTCATCATTCATTTCACTATCAGCATTTTGGTCAAAGTCATTCAACAAGTCTCTAGGAAGTTCCAAACTTTCCCACATCTTCCTGTCTTCAGAGTCCTCCAAGTCTCTAGGAAGTCCCAAACTTTCCCACATTTTCCTTCTTCTGAGCCCTCCAAACTCTTCCAACCTCTGCCTGCTGCCCAGTTCCAAAGTCACTTCCACATTTTCAGGTATCTTTAGAGCACTGTCCCACTCTACTGTTACCAATTTACTGTATTAGTCTGTTCTTATGCTGCTAATAAGGACATACCTGAGACTGGGTAATTTATAAAGGAAAGAGGTTTAATTGACTCGCAGTTCCATATGGCTGGAGAGGCCTCACAATCATGGCAGAAGGGGAATAAGAAGGAAAGTCACATCTTACATGGTGGCAGGCAAGAGAGCTTGTGCAGGGGAACTCCCATTTATATAACCATCAGATTGGGGGTGGGGCCAAGATGGCTGACTACAAGCCACAGTGATGGCAGGCTCCCACTGAAGAAAACCATAATAAGCATGTGAATCCTTCACCGGCAACCAAGGTATCCTGGTTCTCTCATCAAAATTGACTAGAAGGCTGGCATGATCCATGGAGAGAAGGAAGAGCAGGGTGGTGTGGCGGCCCACCTGAGAGCCACACAGGGAAGGGGAGCCCCCTACGCCAGCCAAGGGAGGTGGTGAGTGAGCACACTACCCAACCAGGGAAACTGTGCTTTTTCCACAGAACCGTGCAACCCACAGATCAGAAGATCCTACTTGTGAACCTACACCACTGGGGACTAGTGTCCCAACCCCAGAATGCACAGATTCTTACAGCCTCTCAGAAGGAATCTCCTTAAGCCTACTGAACATTCTGGGGAGGCGCCATCAGCACAGGCTGCGGCTGGCTGCTGTCTAAGCCCTTTGAGCTCCTTGTGGGAGGGGCACCAGCCAGCACTGGGACTCACAGCTACCTAACATGCTAAGCTCCCTGGACAGGGGGAAGGGTGGCACCTATTTCTATAGCTCCAGGCTGTGCTTTTCCCCTGCTGGAGCCAGGGAGACTGAATGGCTTGGTCTTAAGTCTTGTCCCCACAGCCCAATACACCAGCTGTGGCAGTCTGCAGCCAGAGTGCCTCTTCAGGCCCAACACCAGCCCATCCTTCCTCAGTGGATGGGGCTTCCCTGCAGGATCTCCAATAACTCCAGCCAGAGGCTCAGGAACAGAATTCCGATCTCCCTGGGCCTAAGCCCCTAGCAGGAGGGGTGGCCGCAGTCTCTGCAGACCAGCAGACTTAGCCACTCTTCATAGATCTGAGGAATCTGGGAAGCCCAGATGAGTGGGTTTTCTCCAGTGAAACACATCTTCTCCACCAAGGGACAAAGTGCTTTGTTAAATGGGCCCTGCTCCCTGTGCCACCCAACTGGGTGAGACCCTCCAACTGGGGTTGTCAGACACCTTATACAGAAGCAATCCTACTGGCATCACGTTGGTGCCCCTCGAGGTCAGAGGTCCCATAAGAAGGAGCAGACACCCATCTTTGCTGCTCTCCAGCCTCCCTGAGTAACATCTCCAGGCACAGAGCGAGGTCAGTCAGAATGGCAATTATTAAAAAGTCAGGAAACAATAGATGCTAGCAAGGCTGTAGAGAAATAAGAACACTTTTACATTGTTGGTGGGAGTGTAAATTAGTTCAACCATTGTGGAAGACAGTGTGGCAATTCCTCAAGGATCTAGAACCAGAAATACCATTTGACCCAGAAATCCCATGACTAGGTATATAACCAAAGGAATATAAATCATTCTACTATAAAGACACATGCACAAGCATGTTTATTGCAGCACTATTTACATATTTATTGCAGCAAAGACATGGAACCAACCCAAATGCCAATCAATGATAGACTGGATGAAGAAAATGTGGTACATATACAGCATGGAGTACTGTGCAGCCATAAAAAGGAATGAGATCATGTCTTTTGCAGCGTCATGGATGAAGCTGGAAGCCATCATCCTCAGCAAACTAACACAGGAACAGAAAACCAAACACCACATGTTCTCACTCATAAGTGGGAGCTGAACATGAAGAACACATGGACACAGGGAGGGGAACATCACACACCAGGGCCTGTTGGGGGTAGGGGGTGAGGGGAGGGAACTTAGAGGACAGGTCAGTGGGGGCAGCAGACCACCATGGCACATGTATACCTGTGTAGCAAACCGGCATGTTCTGCACATATATCCCGTTTTTATTTTTAGCAGAAATAAAGAAAAAAATAAAAAATAAAACCGTCAGATCTCATGAGACTTATTCACTACCACAAGAACAGCTATTTATCAAAATACTAAAGCATTTACTTAGATCATTTTAACTTTTTTAAAATTTTTATTTATTCACTTATTTATTTTTGAGACAGTCTCACTCTGTCACCAGGCTGGAGTGCAGTGGCATTCTCAGCTCACTGCAAACTCTACCTCCTAGGTTCAAGGGATTCTCCTGCCTTAGACCCTCAAGTAGCTGGGATTACAGGCTCCTGCCACCACACCCAGCTAATTTTTGTATTTTAGTGGAGATGAGGTTTCACCATGTTGGCTAGGCCGATCGCCGACTTCTGACCTCAAGTGATTTGCCCACCTCGGCCTCCCAAATTGCTGGGATTACGGGTGTGAACCACTGGGCCCGGCAACTTATTTTTAATTCTAAAAAAATTATCCTTCTTTTTATTTGTTAGGAAAGAGATGAGGGGAGATAAGGAGAGCTTAGAGTAGAGGACATCAATAGGGAAAAACTTCATAGAGATCACAGATTCTAAAGTTACCAACAATTGTTTTCCTGAATGAGCTGAGAGACAGTCACTCCAACTTTGCCTCATTTCAGTAGTTTTCATGGACCCAAATTACCTGCTTTAAACTTACAAGATATTCAGCAGGTACTTGTACCAGCAAGCATTCTCTATCTGACATTTAGGTCAGTATTAGGGAAGAATTACTGTGTATTCAGCCGTGAGGGTAGCAGTAATTAGGCACAAATGGAGAAATACTTCCTCTTTTCTTCTGTTGCTCTTAGAGTCTTCCTTCCAGCTCAGCCTTTCATGTCTTAATTTAGCTATATGTTGGAACAGCTAGACCATGCAAAAAAAAAAAAAAGAAAAGAAAAGAAAAAAAAAAACCACACAGATTTCCAATTTACAGTATAAGCAATTGGCTGGACAAGTCTGTGAAACGAAGTGTTCAAGATAAATGTGTGTAAGGCTATTTCTACATCCACTATTGAAAGGCTCCTTCCAAAGTCCTTTTACTTTGTCAGTACTTAAAACAAACCAAAAGTGAGCCTTCTGGTGACCTCAATGCAAGAAAGATATACATATATGTATGTACATAGAGATGTAGATATGTACCTTAGCTATTCTTTTAAAAAAATACTATCTCGCCCCTGCCTAAAACTTGGATGTAAAGAGAGAATTGTGTATTTATGGAGATATTCAGAAAAATTAGATATTACCTATAAAGTTTAGCATAGACTTATATGTGAAATGTCAAAACCTTCTAGATATTTATAGCCAAACCACTTAATTCAAAGTTTACTAAGAGGTATGTTCTTTTAAGTATTTATGTTAATATTTTCTTCTAGTAGAACTGTTCATAAACTTGGAACTTTACTGTCTCCCTTTCAAAATTCTTCATCACAAACTTCTGATACATATATTTCTGTCTTTCTTTCTGCCTTTTTAACAACTCTGGACTATTTTCTATTACTTCCAAATAATCAAAGCCCTATCCTTCAGGCTTTCTGAGCAGTCTTGCCGTATGCCAACCTTGATGCATTAGCTAATTCACCCATTTTACCATAAGAAGATCTATATATAAATCACTCTAGCCCAATTAGACTTGACAAACTTTTCTCTGAAGGTTTTAAGAAAAAGGAGCAAAAAGAAAATGCAATGAGGACTAAATTTACTGATAGTTAGAACTACTTTAAATTTAGAAGAACTTTATAAATATAAGTGAAAAAAGTCAATATTCAAGTGGCTGATATTGTAATCCTAAAACAATAACCCAATTTTGTTGCTAACCTCAACCTAGCTTTTTAAAAGAATAAACATTTTACTTTTGTTGATTAACATTTATACAATCATATTTATCAGCCAAGCATGGAAGAAAAATATGTATTATATTTCTTTTAATTCTATGTGATCAATAACAATGGTAAAATTATTAATCAACTTCTGATGATTTATTATTTATGCCTTTGGCTGTTAGATGCAAAACGCTCTGAACTAGTTTGTTCAATAACTAGCTTTCTTCATTTATTTTTCTTTTCTCTCCTGAATATAAAGAATCTCATTGTCATCTTCAAAGATAGGAATAAACATTTTTTGATCAGCTTTTAACCACAAGGCTGTGTGCTACAAACTGCAGATGTAAAGATATAATATCTGCCCTCAGAGAGTTTATGGTGCACCCAATAAAATAACTAAATACATGAAAATACAAATAAAAATACAAGGCAGTATAAAAGTAGCAAATGGTGTTCTAGATAGTAATGTGAAATTGTGAGGGAGAAGAGGGAGAAAGAAGTTTCTTTTTTTTTTTTTTTTTTTTTTTTTTTTTGAGACGGAGTCTCACACTGTTGCCTGGGCTGGAGCGCAGTGGTGCCATCTCAGCTCACTGCAACCTCCGCCTCCCAGGTTCAAGCGATTCTCCTGCCTCAGCCTCCCAAGTAGCTGGGATTACAGGCACCTGCCACCACGCGCAGCTAATTTATTTTTATTTTTATTTCTCGTAGAGAAGGGGTTTCACTACGGTAGTCAGGCTGTTCTCGAATGCCTGACTTTGTGATCCACCCACCTTGGGCTCCCAAAGTGCTGGGATTACAGGATTGAGCCACCATGCCCAGCCAAGAAGTTTCTTAATATCAGGACAATCAAAGACAGCATGACATAAGCAAGTGGATTTTAAGTGTTCTCACCACAGAAAAAGGATGCTTCTGTGAGATAACCTGTGTATTCATTGGCTCAATTTAGCCCTTCTACATTGTAGACATATGTGAGGACATCATATTGTACACTATAAATAAGTACAATTTTTATCCTCTAAAAAATAGATGTTTAAAATACAAAACCTTTAGAAAGCAATGCACAATTAATATAGATTCAAATATTTAATACTCTATCTTATTCAAAGGTTGAATCTTATTCAAAGGTTGAATCTCCTGCAACATGAAGTGGGTTTCATGGCAATCTTATAGGTGCTTAATCCTTGTAAAGACAATAGTTCTTTCCTATCCAAAGGTCTCACTGGTGAAAGTAATCAGGAAGAGCAATAAACCAGCAATGGCTGAATGGAAAATAACTTATGAAACACTAGTTCAGAAATCACAGAAAGACATTTCACAAAACACAAAAATGCATAGACCAAAGCCACCATTAGCTCTTCTAAATCAGCCAGTAACTGCCTCTATGACACAATCCAACCAAGGGAGGAGTCAAGATAAAGACTCAGGCTGGGCACAGTGGCTCACGCCTGTAATCCCAGCACTTTGGGAGGCTGAGGCAGGAGTTCAAGACCAGCCTGACTAACATGGTGAAACCCTGTCTCTACTAAAAATACAAAAATTAGCTGGGCATGGTGGTGCACGACTGTAATCCCAGCTACTCAGCAGGGTGAGGCAGGAGAATTGCTTGAACCCAGGAGACAGAGGTTGCAGTGAGCCGAGATTGCGCCACTGCATTCCAGCCTGGGCGACAGAGTGAGACTCCTTCTCAAAATAAAATAAAATAAAATAAAGATAAGATAAGATAAAGACTTGGGCAGGAATGGGGAAAGATAGGTAAATGTGTTTTTAAAAAAACTACATGAGTTTTCAGGAATGAATACATATGGTGACGAGGGAAAAACGTTTATGTAAATTTTAGAAATTCCTTCAGTTAAATTGTATATTTCTTAAAATAGAAATAGTACTAAGCAAGACCAAGAGGTTGAAGATCACTATGGCATCACTAAGAACAAGGAGACTGTCCAAAGGAAGACAGTTATGCCCAACATTTACTAAAAGTGGGCCATTTCTAATTCTGAATCCTCAAAATGCAAGAGCCAAAGAGGTTGCCAAATTCTCGGGATTCTTCCTAACACAAATATAATTTGCCCCATTGACAGCATGAATTTTAAAATTTAGATCCTAAGACATTTCAAATTTCATCGAAGTTTAAAATGTGCCAGTCTGAACAGTCACCACTGAGAAAGCTCTTCAGATTCAGTGACTACAGTTTATCCTAAGCACTTTTTTGGCATATCTCATTTTTTGTTCTGGCTGCTCCTATGCATTAATCTGCATGAGTGTGTCAATAAGAAACACTGGATTTTATTGAATGAAACACCAAAAGTAACAGGAATAAGTCTTCGAAAATAATTTGGAGTCCCTCCCTAATGAGTAGACTTTTGCCCCAAATCTTCCCATAATAGTCCCAATTTTGTTAAGGGTTTCTTTCTTTCTTTCTTTTTTTTTTTTTTTTTAAATTATTATACTTTAAGTTCCGGGATACATGTGCAGAATGTGCAGGTTTGTTACATAGGTATACACGTACCATGGTGGTTTGCTGCACCCATCAATCCGTCATCTACATTAGGCATTTCTCCTAATGTTATCCCTCCTCTAGACCCCCACCCCCTGACAGGCCCCGGTGTGTGATGCTTCCCTCCCTGTGTCCATGTGTTCTCATTGTTCAGCTGCCACTTATGAGTGAGAACATGCAGTGTTTGGTTTTCTGTTCCTGTGTAAGTTTGCTGAGAATGATGGTTTCCAGCTTCATCCATGTCCCTGCAAAGGACTTTAACTCATCCTTTTTATGGCTGCATAGTATTCCATGCTGTATATGTGCCACATTTTCTTTATCCAGTCTATCATTTATAGGCATTTGGGTTGGTTTCAAGTCTTTGCTATTGTGAACAGTGCTGCAATAAACATATGTGTGCATGTGTCTTTAAAGTAGAATGATTTGTAATCCTTTGGGTATATACCCAGCAATGGGATTGCTGGGTCAAATGATATTTCTGGTTCTAGGTCCTTGAGGAATCACCATACTATTTTCCATAACAGTTGAACTAATTTACACTCCAGCCAACAGTGTAAAAGTGTTCTTCTTTCTCCACAGCCTTGCCAGCATCTGTTGTTTCCTGACTTTTTAATGATTGCCATACTAACTGGCATGAGACGGTATCTCATTGCAATTTTGATTTGCAATGCTCTAATGACCAGTGATGATGAGCTTTTTTTCATATGTTTGTTGACCCCATTAATGTCTTCTTTAGAGAAGTGTCTGTTCTATCCGTCACCCACATTTTCATGGGGTTTTTTCTCGTAAATTTGTTTCAGTTCTTTGTAGATTCTGGGTATTAGCCCTTTGTCAGATAGATAGATTGCAAAAATTTTTTCCCATTCTGTAGGTTGCCTGTTTACTCTGATGTTAGTTTCTTTTGCTGTGTAGAAGCTCTTTAGTTTAATTAGATCCCATTTGTCCATTTTGGCTTTTGTTGCCATTGCTTTTGGTTTCTTATCAATCTGCTCCCAAACAGACAGAAATGCATATAAGGATCACTTACTTGGATTGATTGTCATCAATAAGGGAACCATATTTGATGTTGTGAAAGAAAGATATTCATCTACAGTGATGATTCACGTTCCTAGAACCACTTTAAAAACTCTAAGTTAAGTAGAATTGGATTATTCTGCAAGCACACAGGAGAAGGGTTAATCATTTGCCAAATCACTCAAACTCTGCTACAGATGACCACAAAAATGAGGACAATTCACTTTGTGCACTAAACTGTGCGGGGCACTAGAAATGAGATAAGTAGGGAATTGAACATTGAAAACACATGGACACAGAAAGGGGAACAATACACACCAGGGCCTGTTGTGGGGTGGAAGATGAGGGTGAGGGGAGGGAACTTAGAGGATGGATCAATAGGTGCAGCAAACCACCTTGGCATATGCATACCTGTGTAACAAACCTGCACATTCTGCACATGTGTCTTGTTTTTATTTTTAGAAGAACTAAAAAAAAGTAAGAAATGAGGTAAGTATTAAAAGTTTGGCCCTTGAGAAGTTCATACACACAGAGGAAGTTTTACCTTCAAATCTCTACCGTTTCTGAGATTTGGAAGAATTTACGTAGTATTTGGTATATATAAGTTTTCATTGTCAACAACGCAGAGAAGCATGGATAGATCTGTGTTTTAAAAATACCAAAGGAATCGCTGGTCGCGGTGGCTCATGCCTGTAATCCCAGCACTTTGGAAGGCTGAGGCGGGCAGATCACGAGGTCAAGAGATTAAGACCATCTGGCAAATATGGTGAAACCCGGTCTCTACTAAAAATACAAACATTAGCTGGGCGTGGTGGCACGTGCCTGTAGTTCCAGCTACTGGGGAGGCTGAGGCAGGAGAATCGCTTGAACCCGGGAGGTGGAGGTTGTGGTGAGCCGAGATTGCACCACTACACTCCAGCCTGGTGACACAGCAAGACTCCGTCTCAAAAAAAAAAAAAAAACACTGAAGGATCTAGACTTTCTAGGTAACATGGGACAAGGAAAATATTCCAGACTTTAGGTTTGATCCCAGCTTTTTCACTCCCTACTTGTATGACCTTGCATCTCAACTTCTAAATAGTGACATGAGTGCCATAAACCTTCAAATCATATCTATGGGAGTACCTACTGAGTGCCAGGTACTGTTCTCAGTGCTTGTGATAGGCCAGTAAAACCAAACCAACCAAAGATGTCTGCCCTATGGAGCTGACATTCTGGTGACCCTTACTTATTTTTGTCTTCTTTTTTCCTATATCTTTTTTATTTATATATTTTTTCAGTTGTAATTTAAACAGAAAATAGAAAAAAAACCTGAGACCAGTGTTTTCAATCCTCAGATTTGAAAAATGTTAATATTTTGTCATTATGTCAGGTATTTTAAAAGAAATAAACTATTAGAAAGTTCTGTTTTAAAATTCATTGTAGCTACAAACAGAAACAAAAAGCTGACAAAGGAGATGGGACTGAATCTGGGTCCTATTGCAAAATTAGTAAAATCAGGACAATAATGAAATACTTATCAATTCATTGAAGAAATGAAGGAAGAGTTTGGATGTTCTGGACAAAAGAAACACACTGAGAGAACAATAAATTACAAGAAAGATAATGGATGATGCTGTGAACCCAGAACCAATTCAATAGACCAACATAGGGACAAGCAGGCGCTTACTTCTTAGGAGCCAAGGATATTTATCACTTGGTATGATGGACTCATTTGGCCTCAGTAGCTTCTGGAACAGCTCTGCTCTTAACATTTGAACAATTTATTGCCTAATTATTTAGCATGCCCTTTTGAAGAGTCTGTCTGCTGGACACTTTCTGAGAGTGAGCACAAAAAGTGGGCTCTTGGAAAGTCATCCCTCCCCCTCATTGCATTAAAAGCAAAATAACCTTTTATCAAATGCTTTGTGACCATTTAGAATATTGAATTTGTATTTTAATCATCGAGTTCAACAGGAATATAGCCAGTGGGAAGGACTTAATTACAAATGGTGTCTTTCTCATGGCTATGCCCACAATCCCAGGAGGTGCTTTAATGAAGTTCTGAGCCCTCAGACAGGAAAGGTCAAATGGCTTTCCTCCCCCCAGTACCTCCAAAGTGCACGAAGCTGAACCTTTATCCTAGCAGATGTTCAATCAGATATAATGTCAGCCTGAGGCAAAAATTCCAGGAAACAAGTGCTCAGAGGGAAGCAATTCTCTGGAATTTAGTGGATAACAGCAGCCTCTTTTGGAGTTTGAAGAGGAGATGAATTTAGATAATCCCCTTTTGAATATAAATGTATATTTTGTTACGAGTGTAATATGCCAGCAGGCATACTATTCTGCTTGGGAATTTATTACATATTAAATATTCATGATATTGCAGATCAATATTTTTTTAAAAGTTGAAAATGTTCCTGCTACACTTATGCTACACACATATTCAAATTTGTATAAGGTGAAACCAGCTGAAATTGCTTTTTGGTAGGTCAAAAAAGGTTGAATATTCCATTTTATCTGGTTCAACCTAATTACTCAAATTGTGTTACAATTAGCAAAAGAATGCAAAGTTACATTTTATAACACCATTTTTTAACCTGTTTTTCATTCTTATAAAATACTGTTGTATTACATTAAACATCATTTCAAAATATGCTGTATATATTATATATAGAATATTTTGATATATAATTTTATATAATATAAATACATCAGCATATTTTGAAATAATATTGTTTAACATCAGATTATTTAATAAGAATGAGAAATAGTTCAAAATATATTATTGAAAAATAAAAAAAAGTTTGGTTTTTCTTGAAACTTAAAAAAATGGCTTATTTGCCTTCTCTAAATTAAAAAAGCAAATAAAACAAACCTCAATATGCTATGTGTTAGGGAAAAAAAAAACTTTAGCAAAACTAAATTTAAAAGAGTTTGATTAAGCAAAGAACAATTCCAACAGTCTCCAGAGGCAGAGCAGGCTCAGAAACTCCAACACAGCCACGTGGTAGAAGGTTTATGGGCAGAAAAAGGAAAGTGAGGTACAGAAACCCCCGGACTGGTTATAGCTCCACCTTTGCCTTATTTGAACAGGGTTTGAACAGTTGGCCACATGTGATTGGCCAAAGCTCAGTGTTGCCACAAGAGCAGGCTACAGTCTGTTTACAATTCCATTCAGGTTATAGTTCACAATGTACAGAGAAACCTTTAGGCCAAACTTAAAATATGTAAGAAGACAGCTTTAGGCTAACCTTGATTTAACAAAGGAAAGATTTGAATTTCCACATGACTTACTAATGTTAATAAATACAGGAAATCTTCAAATACAGAATACTTTTTTGATATGGTTTTCTTTAAGAAGATATTTTGGTCTTCAAAAATTATTTTTACAATTTATATCTTTGTAAAATATTTAGTCATGAAAATAGAGTTGTATTTATTCCTGCATTTACTTGATTTGATTTTTTACCATGGCTTATTATAATGCCTGTGCCCTGATGAAAAACTATAAGGGCTAATCAAAGTAATGTATGCCTCCATAAAGCACAATTTGGCTGAACATTAATTAACTGAACATAAAAATCTTTTTAAAAGACTCTTAAAGCTAATTCCAATGTAAATTTAAATAACTAGAAAACCATGTGAACCCCAAAACGAATGGAAAAATGTATATAACGTCAATTAAATTAAGCCTGAATAACACTTCAAATACACACTATTGATAGGTTAAATATTTGTGATTAAAAAGACTGGGGATCTTTAACAAAGACTAGTAAGGAGGCAATGGGGAAGGGAAGGCTGGAAATAGGGGAGGATCAGGAGGGACAGGATGACTCAGAGGTAAGTACCTGTCATTATTTCTGGAAGTCTATCTCAATAGTTGCGGCTATACCTGAGATTGAAAAAAAATCTAGTGTAGCTCACCATGGTGTGACTAAGTTGCAAAATAGATTGTCTTGGGTGGTTATTAAACAATTTCAGAAGAGAATACATTAAATTATCTTAATGTTGTGCCGGAATAAGTGTATAGAGCAGACCACAAAATAGGGGAACAAGTGCCAGCCATGAGCCAGCTGATTTGATTTACGCTCCAGGCAATCGCCAGAAATTAGGTTGTTAAGCTGAGGGAACAAGATCGGTATTTAAACTGTCTTTATATGATATCATAGCCACACACCACCAGCCTTACCACCTTTATGGTGCTTTAATATAAAAATTGGATATTTGTTTATAAGTCTAATTCGTTTATGTTCTTTAAAATACACACCACCCTGAACGTTTACAAGAAATATGAATAGCATAAAAACCCTTTGCATAGTTGAAAAGCCGAGATGTATCTTATTTTTATTGGCAGTTAATGTAGAGGCCTATATAACAGCTGCCTCAATAGCCACTAGATTAGGGACATAAAACTGCAAAACCTGTTCCCTGTGCGGGAGGGGAAACAGAAAAATAAGAGAAGCGCCCTCACCCAGGTTTTGGAATTCCAAGAAAGGTGTTGAACGCCTGATGAAGAATTCATTTTGAATATAACTGTCTTCATTTAGGGAGGGTGTGTGAGTGTTCCGTTTGTCTTTGAAATGAAACCTTTCCAAGAGGCACGTGTTGATTTACCAAAGACAGAATGGCAAGGGGGAGCCCAGAGGCAAGAACTGGTGAAATCTCTCAGAAGACGCGGGAAGAAGCCTTTTTTCCCCTGCAATCTCTCCCGCCTCTCTCCAGAGTCCAGGAGGAGGCAGTCCCCGTGGCTTAGGCTTTATCTTTAAGACAATAGCGCCGCTCGCCGCCACCCGCGCGACTCGGATCGGGCATCCCGGCGGCCGCACCCCGCGCGCTGGCTCATCTGCACACCGGCCACCTGCATTGTCGGCCAGAGCCCCCGTCCCGGCGGCTTCCCCAGCAGCTTGGCTGCCCCTCAGGTCCTCCCATCCCACCTTGCACCTCCAGGACGCCCTGGACCCGCCCATCCTCCTGCCCCACTAGCTCATCGACTTACGACTCCCTCAGTCCCTACGGCCCACGGAACCCTCTCCCCAACCCGCGCCACAGCCCGAGCGGCGGCGGCGGCCTTAAGAAGCCCGCAGTCCCGCCCGCGCCGCCCCGCCGGGGCCGGAGGTTGGAGCCGGGAGCACGGCCGCGAATCCCCGCACGTCCCCAGCGCTCCGCGACACCGGGCCCTGCTCGCTGCAACTCGGGGACGGCCTGCGTCTCGCCTCCACCCTGGCCGCGGGCCCCTCGAGCTTGTTTGCTTGTCCTCAGTCCCAGGGCCAGCCCCGCTCCCTCCTCCCGGCTGCTCCAACAGCCGTTTGCTTCCTGCGGTGTGTTTCTTTTTTCCCCTTCCTAGACTCCATCAAAGGTGGCTCTGTTATTGAAATATGAAGCCATTTCCTCTCCAAAACCCTTGGTTACTCAAGGCGGGAATCAATGGACCTATATACTCTCCCAGAAGTTATAAATAAACGTCTATTTGTTCAGGAGGCGTTTTCCCGCGTGTCCCAGCATCTTCCCCACTGGTTATTTCAGGGGTGTGTGTGTCTGTGTGTGTGTGTGTGTGTGTGTGTGTGTGTGTGTGTGCGCGCGCGCGCCCTGTGCCCATCTGGTTCTAATCCTGGTTATGGATCCACAACCCAACCCCACCCATCCCGTCTCCCCCTCGCATTCCTCGTTCTATAAATAAATCCAGGTTCTTTGAGCTCTGTCATCCAAGGATACAATAGCAGTTGTTTGTTAAGAGAAATTTAAACTCAACACCAATACTGAGTCCAGTAAACCAGAAAATATGCTTCTGGTGATTTGGGTGGAAGGCCATCTCCAGTTTAAGAAGCTTTATGTGCCACTATCATCATTGTCTGTTATCCTTGATCTCCTTTGGTGAGGGGAAGGCGGGAAAGAGAGGACCTCTCCGACCCTTGGATTTTTCTTTTAAGCAGAGGCTAATAAAACAAAGCGCAAACTGACTGTCCTGAGGAGTCTGCTCACACCGCTGCCCCGCAGATCATTCCACAGACCCCTTGTCCCATCCCTTCTGGACAGACCCAGGACTGATGAGGGTTCGGGTTCGGGAGGTGTGGTGTGGTGGGGGCTTGTGTGGCTGTAGCGGCCGGCTTTCCTAAACCCCAGAGCGGGATACTCGGGATCTGAGCAGAGGGGAAAGTCATCTAAGAGGCTGCTGCTTTACAAGGTCTGGGCACAGAGCTGCCCCTCCCTTCCTCCCTGAAGTTTGCATGAAGTGCACATTAGGCTGTAATTAGGGGATTTGGGAGGAGAACTTTCCTGGTGACGCTTTGCTTTTCTTCTGCTCTTGGTGAGAAAGTGCCTCCTTCTTCCCAGGATCAGGACCTCTGCCATCCAGCGCCACAAAGAGACATTCTGCACACACACTCACACACGCACACACACACACACTCTCACACTCGCCCAGAGACAAACTTAAGGTGAGGAGAAAGAGCGCTAGCTTCACTTGATCTCCAGCTTCCAACTTAAGCAGAACTTGAGAGCATCCGAACTCCTGGATTTCAGGACAAGGTAAAACTTGCAAATTGTTTCCCCCTCTTTTGGTTATACCTTTGTGCCTTTAAGATTTCAGAGGGCAATACACATGCAATGTATATATACATTAAACAAATTTTATTCTTTTCTTTTGAGTTTAGTTTTCATTTGAATTTAATATGACACCTCAACTTTTAAAAAAGTTTCATATTGTCGGATAAAATATTTCACTACAATAAACAGGCTCAGTCTAAAAATGGAGAAAGAATTAACTCTAGTATCTTAGCTTCTGCTAGTGCTCCTGTAAATCTGGTAGGGTCATGGTTTCCAAGTGGTGACTTTTCTATCTGTATCTCAACAACCATTTTTATAGCACCTGAGATGAAACAAGGATAGTATAGGCTGAAGGGAAAGGTGAGGAATGGGAATGTCCAGCCAGGCTTATGAATTTTGTTTCAGAGAATATATAGGGTTATGTGAAAAAGAAAGTTACTTTAGGCATAGGTAATACCTGTTAGATTAATAATCTTAGAAATGTTGCCATTTTTGGCCCAGGCTTCCTTCTCCAGCTAATTATGAACTTAAGATCATAGAATGATGATGCATTTCATATATACAATGATGTTGATGGATAATTTGAATGCACTGAAGAGAATTTATAGTCATAGTTAAGATTACTGTTAAAAGTTGCTTAAAGAAATTATTTGTATGTTGAGACTGTTCCCCACCAAAAACAAACCTAAACTTGTTTGGGCTTCGATTAAGTAGTTTTCTTCCATTGAATGTGACTGTTGTGTTCAAAATAAGATGGCTTATTAATTTGAGAATAAGTTGCTTTATTTTCATTTATCACTGGAAAAATACACACAGTGGCCAGTACATTTGGGAATTTTTAGGGTGGAAAGTGTTCCTGTACATGTTCCAGTGTGATGTCATAAAATCAAACATACTGGCTGGCTTCTTGGAAGCTAATAGTTCTTAAGAAATTAAGGCTGTGGATTGATTTCTAAATGAATGTAATATTTATTCATTACAATTGTAGTTTCTGGTAACTATTTCTATGTGATTATTTCTGTGTACTAAATTTGCAGAGATTTTATACACATTTCAGTCATTTCAGTATTTTAATGGAATGGGAATATTGTTCTATCAAAAGTATATCATAGTAGTTATCTTTGGAGAATTTTTAATGTGATATGATTCATAATTCTTATATCAGTTAACAAATTCCATTTACCTACAAAAATGAAAGTTTCTCTTCCATTCAGTAAAATATAATGTATACCAAAGGACTCTTCAGATATTAGCTTTAGTCTTTAGTCACTTTTATACCACCCATTTTAAAAAATTTAATTGTTTCAGCTAAGAAATGAATTTATACTTTTGTTGATGACCTCTTCCACTAAATTGGAAACAGCTTAAAAACAGAACTAGATAAGAAGTAATTTTACTTAAGGCTAATTAAATGAACAAGAGATAACCAACAACCTCAACAGACCACTGCTCTACAGGAGGAATGTACCCAGAGGCCAGTATTCTCGACAGGAATGCCTTATGGGCCTGGGCTTTCTATGAGAAACAAGAAGGTGGGGAAACATTATGTACTTATTTATAAAATGAGCCATTTATTTTCAGCAAGGCCCTGTCTCTCAGAGGAATGACTGACACTGTAATTTAGAAGTACTGAAGAGACTTTCACAGAGAAGAATCAATTCATTATATCCCTAGTGGTTTCACTTCCTTTTCCTTCCTTTGGGAGCAAGTAACACATCCAGGATAAATACATTCAGAGTACACAGAAAGATACTTTATGAGTAAACGGTCTACTAAACAATCCTGCCTTTTAGCATCTTAGGTGTGGAATATTGGTATTTTCTGAACAGTTGAAGAAGTCCTTTGAATCTTAAGATAGCAATGCACTTCATCTTTGTAAAGATGAACAAAAGTTATATTCAGAAAATGACTCCCTTCCTTAGAAAATACTAGTTTTCTTTTTCATTTCTTTTTGCCCCATGCACATTTTATTTTTCAGATTGCATTTTTAAGATCATGATCTCTCACCAGTTAAAATTCTGACGAAATACCAGGCAAATTTGAAAATAATTTTGATAGTGCTTCAAATTAATTTTCTGACATCCTGCAGCCATGAGTAGTAACCATAGTACTTAGTCTATGTCATTTAAGTGTACTTAGCCTGTCATTTAAAGGTAGCAAAATGCTGTTGGAAGAAGTAGGAAAGGATGGAAACCTGAATATACTTAGGATTTTAATCAATAGTGTTTAAGGAGGATTAGAGGAAACAGCTGGTTAAACAATTATTAGGAGTAGAGAGGACGAGGTGGTATAAATTAATAATGCATCTCTTTATTTACACTGAATGGGAGGGTCTGTGGTGGTTAACTGTGTGAAGCATGGTCCCTGTGTGCCACCTAGTGGATAAGTCAAAGAAGGCTTTCTCACCGGCTTCTTAAAATACTCTGACTCCCTCGGTTGACGTTTGTTGAACATTAACTACACGCCAGACATTGGGATAGGTGCTCAGGGTAGAAACTAAAGCAAGTGATGTTTATATAAGTTAAAAATTAAGGTACAACTAAACAGTTTATGAAATCCCTACTGGTTGTATTTAAGATCACTTTACTCTTTGTTGGATACTTTACCATTAACTTTCCGCCTCCACAAGGATATAGCTTAATAACTGCAACTCACTTCTAATATAGGATTTGTTTTAGACAGACAGGTCATGGAATTGTTCAAGGACTGGTGGAAAGAGTTTGACCATCTTAAATCACTGTTCCTGAAATAGAAATAAATTTCTCTAAGGTTTAATGTTACTGAATTTAGTTGGGAAAATAACTACTAGCTTAAAAGGTTACCACACAGCTGCACATTTTGTTTCATATTCTTTGATTTTTTTATTAAATTGGAAAGGATAGTAGTACAAGTTGTTTTTGAGTAATGAGGTCTATTTTATAAAATATTGCTCTCAAACACTAATAATTAGCATGTAAAACAACTTCATCTATACTTGTTGTTCACTTGGAGTTTTGAAGCAGGAACCTGGCTTCCATGAAGTTGATCTAATAGAAAAAAAATTCTAGACAAAAACAATTACATGGAAAACCACCACTTGAAGGAAGCATTAAGATACCATAGAAGATTAGTCCATTTGAGTATTGCACTGAGAGCTTTAAAAACCTTTTCTTTAAAAGATATACGAATTATCACTCCAACTGGCTCTTTGCAAGTTATGTGACAATTGCAACAGTGATCAGGACAATCAGCATTAATCAATACAAGTTGTGAAATTCATATAGGAAGGTAAAATGCCTCAGTAGAAAAAAATGATGAATTTGTTACTTGGGGAGCTTTGTAGGTGTAATCCAAAAATAGAGTTAGGCGTGCTGTTGTGGAATGGAAGTTTCCTCTTTGGAAGAGTTTGGTTTTTGTATGGCAGGGAAACCTACACAGTGAAAGAAGGAGACCCGCTCATTAAGTTGTTTTTCATTAATATCACAAAATTATAACCTGTGCTGATTGGAGGTACTGTTTGGAATTAGCATCATCAATTATATAAAATAAAGCAGATTATCTTAATCTTTATTTCCAGTAGATCATTATCTACCAGGAAAAAAACACATTCTGTTAATAATTTCATTGGATCATCCTTGTGATTTAGAATGAATTGCATACTCATTCTAGTGAGAGAGCTAGTGAGAGACTGCCTAAAAGTCAGAGGTCCTTAAAGTAGAAGTTTAATCATAACTTTTCTAGTTTTTGTTTTTTTTTCCTTGAGATGGAGTCTTGCTCTGTCACCCAGGCTGGAGTACAATGGCGTGATCTTGGCTCACTGCAACCACCACTCCCCAGGTTCAAGCGATTCCCCTGCCTCAGCCTCTCGAGTAGCTGGGACTACAAGCATGTGTCACCATGCCCGGCTAATTTTTGTATTTTTAGTAGAGACAGGGTTTCACCATGTTGGCCAGGTTGGTCTCGAACTCCTGACCTCAGGTGATCCACCCGCCTCGGCCTCCCAAAGTACTGGGATTACAGGCATGAGCTACCATGCCCAGCCTTCTTTTAAAGTTTTCTGCCATGTTACAAGAAGTTTTAATGATTTCGGATGACTTAAGGATACTAGACAAGAACAAACTTTACAAGAGAAAACCAGCCAAGCTCTCTGAAATGGTCTGATGCTTATAGTTATATTGCCTTTGCTCCACATAATAACTTCTCCCACTGATAGAGACATGGAAGGAGATAGCTGTTATTAAGAGTTTTTAGCTATGTGTCTCAGAGATAGCCAGAATTTAAGTATCAAATGTTGCTGACTATTTTGAGACTCCACTGATTGTTTTACGGCTTAACAGGGGTGACACCTGAGATCAGGGTATTGCTACAAGACCAGGAGACTATTTACAAAACAAAAAGAAAAATTCAGAGTAAAAATAACTTGGAAAACTTACTAAAGTTAAAGGGCTGGTTCTCAATCTGTTTAAGACAACAGAAATTTTCCCTTCTGCCCAATCTAACATCCAAAAAGAACACAATTTACTCTACTGGTTACTAAATTCCAATTACTATAATATCCAATTAAATTAAATAATATTCAAATTATGTTTATGGTAAGTCTAGATTTCCCTAAGCCTTTCACAAAGTCTTATGGATATTCCTTGGTTTTGTCTTCATTCATACTCTGTGAATTTTTTTTCTCATTTTCGCTCTGTTATTTTGAATTTGGAGGATCACCTCATTTGATCATTCATTTATTCATTTGTTTATTCAACAAAAATGTATTGAGCACTGGCTATTTACCAGGCACTGTGCTAGTCCCATGTGATCCCCCTCATTTTACACTATGAAAATCCATTCTAAAATAATCAGAAAGTCAAAACTGATGTCATAAACCCGAAATGTTACAAGGTCCTGAAATGTACTTTGAGTAACAAAAATAACCAAAAAGTTCTGGCCTCATAGTTTTGGTATTAAGAAAATTTTGAGCATGCATTTTTAAAAATTATTTTCCCTTGTGTGCAAATGCTGAGCTGAGTGGATAACAGCTTTGTTTCTTGGCTGTGTGGACACAGATGGGCCTGGAAAGGCAGTTCTGACACTCCAAAACCCCAAGAGGACTAGGGTTCCAATAATATGTCTGCTTGGATGGACAGGAAACACAAAAATGCATTTGCACAGAATTGTTGTCCACCAGTATGAAACTAAAGTTCAGATTAAGCAAGAATGATTTAGTGCTTACCATTTGCACCAGGCAGGCACCACGCTAGGTGTTGCATAGTAATTGGCTCAAGGAGTTCACAAACCAGTGGAGGAGACAGATGGATACGCATCATGAATCACTAGTAAAATTTGCCAAGTAGGTGAAATTTGCCTTCCTAATTTCCTGGCTCCCTTTCTTTGCATTTACCCAAGCCTTCTAACCCCTCTATCTCATAAACCGAGACTCCTGCTCTCTACCCCTGCATCCCAGAGGATCTGATAGTTCTCTGGTTTATTGATTTCTTGACTACATTTAATTGTGAATGAGGTTCACTCATGCATTACACTTAAGTGTGAATGAGTTTCACTCATGCATTTACAATTTAAGTCCTTTATTTCTTTAAAGTAAATGTTTTGTTTTCTGTAAAAAGAATTTTAAACATCTGGGAGCCTTCCCATCCTTACACCAAAGGGTGTAATTAAGCCTCATTGAATCCCCCAAGGTCTTCAGTCTCTCAGTTATCTCCACTCCCTGTGTGAGAACAGATGGATTCCCTCAAGGCCTGTTTCCTTCCAGAAATGTGAAGGACCATGTTAACTACTGGCTCCTTTCAGCTGAGCCTGATCAACCTGTTCTTCCACCTCCCCTAGCGCTTTAGCCAGACAGATCTCTCTTCCCTTTGCCCCAAGGGGCATCCAACATCCATCCTGTTTTAACATTCCTGTTCACTTTGCCTTAATCTCTGCTCTTGATCCCCTCAGCCCTTCATGACAGTGCTTCAACTGTGGCCCCTGGACAGGTAGCGCATCCATAGCTTCTTAAGTTCTACAGTTTCGAGCCCTTATGCCACCCCAAATATCCAGGTTTAGTGGGAGGGAGCAGTGAGAATCCACATACTTGGTCCAAGAATTCCTCAAAGTCGTGGAGATGAAAAAGGAATATGCATAGGAGAAGCACAGGAATCAGCCATCATGTTGAAAATACGGGTCAAAGCCAACATCTTTTAAAAATATTTTCTCAGGTATGTAAGTACAGTAAAATTGGTTTCAGAGACATTTCAGTGTTGATGCTGATCATAGCTTCTGGAAAACTATGAAAAAAAAGAAAACAGTGAAAATCTGCTTTGGCTTTATAAAAGTGACATGAATCAGAGTCATTTGTTTAAATATCTTCTCAGTTTATGTTTAATTAGCATAATCATAGCCATATTTTATTAAGTATTTCATTAATTTATGTAGTTTTTTTTATTATACCCCATTAGATTATGCTACCATCGTTTGGTGCTCTTGTAAGCTATTGTTCTGGTCTTACAACATAAAGATGTGCTCACAGCCTATTAAATTTCTAGGACTGATGACCCTGATTTAGAGAGGTGATTTCCTTTCGTGTCTTTCCAGTAGCCTAGAGGAGAGGGGTCATTAGCCTGCATTATTCAGCTGGCTTGGAGATACGAATGCCTGACATCCTGTTGCCGCTGTTGGTGTCCAGCACAGTGCAGAACATGGGGCTTCGGGGGTGTCCTGACTTTCTATCCCAAGTGCCTATATTTCAGATGTCTGAATACCTCCAAACCCAAACCGTTCCCCAGCTCTGTTTTTGTTTCCTTATGTCTCTTCTTACCCAGCAATGTTGTTAAATTTATAAACTCTTTTAAGATGTAAATGATAATCACTACAGTATAAAATTAATCATGTAAATAAAATTAATTGTTAATCTCAGTAAATCTCTAAGGAAAGCAAGACTGGAGGTGGAAAACCCATTCAGAGGTCATCAAAACAGCGTAGGCATGACTGAATGGGATGCATTGACTGGATGTGGACGAGAAGTCTGAGATAGTGTGACTGTTTTAAGGATGGATGATTACCTGAGGAGGGATGCAATTGACTAAGATTAGGAATATAGGAAGAATAGAAGTTTCTGGGAGAAAATGATTAGTCTAATTTAGGAAGAAGTGCCAACAGGACAGCCAAAAACTCATAGGAGTTGAATGCACATTTCTTAAGTACATGGGAGAAGTCATGGCTGGAAATGGAGATTTGGAAGACTCTGGCATTAAAATGGTAGTTGAAAATCATCTGGAAGAGAGAAGGGATCGATCATCCCAGGGATATACTAAGGGAGAAGCAGTTAACCAAGAACTGAAACCCAGGGAAGAATTAGTAAGAATGAGTTTTGACATGATTAATGCATGAATTTAACTTTTTATTTTATTAACTATAAATATCCACTCAGTTGGATAACAGCAATGTTTATTAATCCTTACATCTCACAGTCCTAGTCAGTCCTCTGCATATAGAAGGTGCCAGACATGTTTGTTGAATTAAAGGAAATTAAAATGGTATTTCCGTGCCTTGAAGCTCTAATGACAGATTTTCATAATGATAACCCTGAGTAAGACCCCAAAATGTCTAGATTATAGTTGTTTATTACATTTTGTCCAATACCGAACTAACTTTAAATATATGTTGCTGCATTTTGTTGTTTAAAAATCAGTAATCAATGTGTGGTGTAGATGGTAATTCACCAGAGTACTTGATTAACCATAGCCCATGTTGTTTAGCTTACCATATAAATGAGTTTGCCACAGAATGCAGACTAATTCAAGTCTATTTATAATTCGTTTTCTAATTCCTTGATTCTGAAGGCTTCTAAATCTTAGGTCAGATTTGTAGTCCATAATCCTGGATTTCTCTGGACTTCTCAGCAACTTCCTTTTTTTTTTTTTGTCCAGGTTCTCCTCCCTCCCCTTATAGGACTGCTTGATAAAATACAAAAAAAAAATTCAATCATTCAATAACTTTAAGTATTACCCCAATATTTCATGGGACATATTTATACCAAAAAAAATTCTTGTTTTTCTAAAGTTCAATTTTAACTGGATATTCTGTATTTTTTTAACTAAACCTGACAACCCTATCCCCTACTTAAAGTTACTGTAACTAGAATATGCCAACAAAATTTTTTCATGAAATTTCTGAACACTCTCCTTCTACAGGCCAATGAAAAAAGTCACAGATTTTACTAGCGAGATAAATATATTAAAAAGATGATCTAAATAAAATTTTTGATCTAAAATATACTGATCAAGATGCAAACTTACAGAGCATTTATAACTATGACATTATATACACTATGTGCTAATAATTATCCTGAGAATGCCATCAATGTATATTCATGATCATGTTTTTTATTCTAGCTAAAATATTTTAAAATAATGTACATATTAGAAAATTAAACTTTTTATGTGCTCCATTTTCAAGTCAGCAATAACGATAAAACAAAATAATCATTTTTAAATTAAGGACCATACATTCAGAAAAAAATATATATAATATACAACAGGTATAAATTCTAACTGCAGAATACCTGAAAGGATCTTGACCCTTGTTAATTACATGTTATATTGTGCTTGTGCTGCCACCTTGTGACACTTTGAGGTATTACCCAATGTAAAAGTCCAGCTTGACCATTTGGTCAATGTTAACATGATTCCTCATCCTTACATGATTAATATTTTCACTTTACCTAAATTGCTGTATAATTTAATACAGAGAAAGTAACTTCAAGTATGTAATGCAAATATTTTCTGAGTCTGTCTGCAAATTAGTATATCATTCTTGAGTCAATCACTAAATTATAATTTATTCAGTACTGTCTGAATTTGTTTTATGGATAAATTTAGTTGTGTCTGTATGTGTGTTCAGTTTACTTGACCTTTCAATCTGAATTTCCCATAGCTTCATGAACTTAACATTTCCAGAATTGAGCTCATTATTTTCCTTTGACCAAGCCTAGTTCGTGTCATCTCTCTTTATATATATCAAGACAATAAAATGTGTTAGTCAAACCAGAACACTTTTAAGAGTCAAAGGGGATGGCTTACTAATCATGATAACAAAAAAGGCATAAACAAAGACCATCCCAAGGAAACTGGTCACTTACATATAATTTAAAAATAATTATAGTACCAATCACCCAAACTAGAAAATTTGTTGTTCTCAACTACGGGTCCAGGGCAGTGAACTGGAATCTTTATCTCAGATTTTCTTCATTCCTCCTACCTATTCATTCCCTTTCATCTTCACTTCTTTCTTTCTTGTCCATCATGCTTGCCAGCGTTCTCCATGTCCTTGTTCTGTTGTTTGCAAAGGGATCCAAAAAACAAAATCTTTTTTCATGATGAATCTAACTGCCCCCGTCCTCCACACTTGCTCCAATTTTCTGGGAACTGCTAAGAAAAGTAAATATCACCCTGCAGAATGGGACAACTTTAGAACTTTATGGTATTTGATGTCAGCTGTATCTTTCATGCTTTATGGCAGTTCTACCATATTTCTTAAAAGTCCATTGTTTCTTGAGCCCTGTAGCAGATGTGCAAGCCTCTCTAATTCACATGGAAAATAGAAGCCACCCTCTCACTGTCTTGCCTAAAACTAGCCTCTGGTCTGTACCCCCAATGCATTATCTCTTTTTTCCTTTTTGTAGAATAATATTTTTTTAAATCTCCTTTACCTCGAAGAGCCCAGTGTGGATGTTGCCCCCGAGCTCTGGATCTCATTTCCTCCAGTTTTCTTGGATAAATCTCTATTTATTAGATCTATTCTCTCTTGTATTATCAACCTCTCCCACTCTGGTTATTTTTCTTTTTTTTTCTTTTTTGAGACGGAATCTCTCTCTGTCGCCCAGGCTGGAGTGCCATGGCGTGATCACAGCTCATTGAAACCTCTGCCTCGTGGGCTCGAGCAGTTTTCCTGTCTCACCCTCCAGAGTAGCTGGGACTACAGGCGCCTGCCACCACACCTGGCTAATTTTTGTATTTTTAGTAGAGACGGGGTTTTGCCATGTTGGTCAGGCTGGTCTCGAAATCCTGACCTTGGGTCATCCACCCGCCTCTGCTTCCCAAAATGCTGGGATTACAGACATGAGGCACCGCCCTCAGCCTATTTTTCTTATTGGCATTTCATCACAGTCAAATCTTCTTTATCTTAAAAACATAAACCTTTTCTAATGTCACATACCTTCTGTCAATCTTTCTCCTTTTCATGAGAGCCACTTTTTTTTTTCCTGAACTACCTATGTTCACTGTCTATCCCCTCACCCCCATCCTCTCCTCAACTTACTGTAATGAGCTTTCTCCCACAGCTACTCCATTGAAATGCTCCTCAGCAAGGTCAACAATTACTTTTTTTCAGTGCTTTTTTTGTGGCATTTTAATACTGGTGACCATGTTCCCTTCACAACAATCTCTACCTTGGGCTTTGTGGCGTCATTCTTTCCTAGATTTCAGGCTTCTATGGTTAATCTATCTCAGTCTCCATTTCAGGCTTCTAAAGAGAAGTCTACCGGCCTCTTGGCTGTTTGTATTTCAATGGCTTCTGCCCAAGATGCTTGTCCCCACCCTACATATTCTCCCTGTGCACTTCCATCTACGTCCATGCATCACACTGCACTCAGCTATGTGCTGGCGACTCCCACATCTTTAGATCTATCCAGTGAGTGTCTAAACCACCTGCACTAGCACATCTCACAAACCTGTCAAATTCCACAAGTCCATAATGAAGTCTTTTTCTTTCTTCTGAATTTGAACCACCCCAATTTTATCTAGTTTAGTAAATAGCACCATTTTCTCTCCACTCCGTTTTCAAAAACAGGAACATAGGAGTCATCCTATGGATTCTGTCTCATAAATATCTCTCTCCATTAGCATAAATCCTGACCTTCCTTATCATCCTCTCTTACTGAATTCCTGCAAACCTCACCCATCAGTCTCTATGTCTCCCATCTTGTTACTTTCTAATTTATTCCCTCACACTGAAGCTAGAGTCACTGTTCTAAAGTGTAAATATGAAAATATCTCCCCACTTAAAGTGCTTCAATGTCTTTTCATTGCTGTGACAATTAGGTCCAAATTATTTTAAGTGATTTGCAAGGTTCTTAGTGACCTGGCTTGAGCTCTTAGCTGGAAAGCAGCCTCATCTAAACTTACCCAATACAGTATGTTCACTCTCTGGGTGATGGGATCAATAGAAGCCCAAACCTCAGCATCATGCAGCATACCCTTGCAACAAACCAGCACATGCACTCCCTGAATCTAAAATAAAAATGGAAATTTTGTAAAATAAATAAATTAATTAAATAAAATTACCCAATATACTAGCTGACAGGATTCAATGACCGAAAAAGCCAAGATAGTAAAACAGAAAATAGAAATAGACCAATAGGAGATGTAAATATTAGGCTTTTCAGACATAGGCTTTATGTGATTAATATGCTTAAGAAATTAGATTATTTTTAGGAGAGCATTTTGCCTTTTATTTACTGTGTAAAAAGAACATTTGCCCAATATGAAAATAGGCAATACAGAAAAATACAAGCACACTACTTACACATTTAGTTAGTTGAATTCCAGATATCTCTGTGAGTTTAGAGAAATACATGGCTAGAAAGATAAACTGGGCTGAGCACGGTGGCTCACGCCTGTAATCCCAGCACTTTGGGAGGTCTGGAGTTCAAGACCAGCCTGACCAACATGGTGAAAACCCGTCTTTGCTAAAAATACAAAAAAAATTATCAGGGCATGGTGGCACATGCCTGTAGTCCCAGCTACTCGGGAGACTGAGGCAGGAAAACAGCTTGAACCTTGGAGGGAAGGTTGTAGTGAGCTGAGATCACGCCGCTGCACTCCAGCCTGGGTGACAGAGACTGTGTCTCAAAAAAACAGAAAAAAAGAAAAGAAAAGAAAAGACAAAAGATAAACTGATAATTTTTAGATGTTTTATAGAAATGTTTTCATACTCCTCCTGCTGTTTCAAAGTGTAAATATTTTTAATGTAGCAGAAGGAAGAGTATCTACTATGTAAGTAAAATACTTATTCTAATTTAGAATCCTTTTTTTTAACTTTTAGTTTAGTGGATACATGTAAAAGTTTGTGATATAGGTACTGGTGTCATGGGGGTTAGTTGTACAGATTATTTCATCATCCACATACTAAGTCTAGTACCTAATAGTTACTTTTTCTGCTCTTTTCCCTCTTCCCAACCTCCACCCTCAACAGACCCCATTGTCTATTGTTCCCTTCTTATAGTTCATGAGTTCTCATCATTTAGCTCCTACTTATAAGTGAGAACATATAGTATTTGGTTTTCTTTTCCTGTGTTAGTTTGCTAAGGATAATGGCCTCCACCTCCATCCATATTCCCACAGAAGACATTATCTTGTTCTTTTTTATGGCTGCATAGTATTCCATGGTGTATATGTATCCCATTTTCTTTATTTAGTCTGTCATTAATGGGCATTTAGGTTGATTTCATGTCTTTGCTATTGTCAATAGAGCTGCAATGAATATACGTGTGCAGGTATCTTTATGGTAGAATGATTTATATTCCTCTGAGTATATCCCCAGTACTGGGATTGCTGGGTGGAATGGTAGTTCTGCTTTAGCTCTCTGAGGAGTCACCATACTGCTTTCCGCAATGTTTGAACTAACTTACATTCCCTCCAACAATGTATAAGTGTTCGCTTTCCTCCACAACCACACCAGCATCTGTTATTTTCTGACTTCTTAATTATAGCCATTCTGACTGTGTGAGATGGTGTCTCATTGTAGTTTTGATTTGCATTTCTGTAATGACCAGTGATATTGAGCTTTTATAACATATGCTTGTTGGCTGCATGTATGCCTTCTTCGGAAAATTCTGTTGACGTCCTTTGCCCACTTTTAAATGGGATTGGTTGTTATTCTCCTTTTTCTCCTGTAAATTTGCTTAAGTTCTTACAGATGTATAGTTTGCAAACATTTTCTCCCATTCTGCAGGTTGTTTACTCTGTTCACAGTTTATTTTGCTGTGCAGAAGCTCTTAAGTTTAATTGGATCCCATTTGTCAAATTTTGCTCTTGTCGTGATTGCTTTTGGTGTCTTTGTCATGATATCTTTGCCTGTTCCTGTTTCCAGGATGGTATTGCCTCGATTATCTTCCAGGGTTTTTACAGTTTTTAGTTTTACATTTAAGTTTTTAATTAATCTTGAGTTGATTTTTGTATATGGCTTAAGGAAGAGATCCAGCTTCAATCTTCTGCATATCGCTAGCCAATAATCCCAGCACCACTTATTGTATAGGGAGTCTTTTCCCCATTGCTTGTTTTTATCAGTTTTGTCAAAGATCAGACGGTCATAGGTGAGTGGTCTTGTTTGGGGACTTTCTATTCTGTTCCATTGCACTATGTGCCTGTTTTTGTACCAATACTATGCTGTTTTGGTTACTGTAGCCCTGTAGTATAGTTTGAAGGTGGGTAATGTGATTCTTCCAGCTTTCTTCCTTTTCCTTAGGACTGCCTTGGCTATTTGGGTTCTTTTGTGGTTCCATATGAATTTTAAAATAGTGTTTTCTAGTTCTGTGAAGACTGTCACTGGTAGTTTGATAGGAATAGCAATGAATCTATAAATTGCTTTGGGCAGTATGGTCATTTTAATGATATATGGATTCTTCCTATCCATAAGCATGTGAAGGATATTTTTCCATTTGTTTGTGTATTCTCTGATTTCGTTGAGCAGTGTCTTGTAATTCTCACCATAGGAATCTTTCACCTCCCTGGTTAGCCGTATTCCTAGGTACTTTGTTCTTTCTGTGGCAATTGTGAATGGGATTGTGTTCCTGATTTGGCTCTTGGCTTGGCTCCTGGTGGTGTATAGGAATGCTAGTGATTTTTGTATGTTTACTTTGCATCCTGAAACTTTGCTGAAGTTATCAGCTGAAGGAGATTTTGAGACAGAACTATAGGGTTTTCTAGACATAGAATCATGTCATCTGCAAACAGAGATAATTTGACTTCCTCTCTTCCTATTTGGATTCCCTGTATTTCTTTCTCTTGCCTGATTGCTGTGGCTAGGACTTCCAATACTATGTTAAATAAAAGTGGTGAGAGAGGGCATCCTTGTTTTGTGCTGGTTTTCAAAGGGAATGCTTCCAGCTTTTGCCCATTCAGTATAATGTTGACTGTGGGTTTGTTATAGATGGTTCTTACTATTTTGAGGTATGTTCCCTCAATACCTAGTTTATTGAGAGTTTTTAACATGAAGCGATGTTGAAATTTATTGAAAGCCTTTTCTGCATCTATTGAGATAATCATGTGGGTTTTGTCTTTAGTTCTGTTTATGTGATGAATCACATTTATTGATTTGTGTATGTTGAACCAGCCTTAAATCGTGGGTATAAAGCCTACTTGAACATGATGGATTAGCTCTTCATGTGCTGCTAGATTCAGTTTTCAAGTATTTTGTTAGGGATTTTTGCATCAATGTTCACCAAGGATATTGGCTTGAAGTTTTTTGATGTTGTTGTTGTGTCTGTCATATTTTGGTATCAGGATGATGCTGGCCTCATAGAATGAGTTGGGGAGGAGTCCCTCCTTCTTGATTTTTTGGAATGGTACAAGCTCTTTCTTGTACAACTGGTGGAATTTCACTGTGAATTCATTTGGCCCTGGGCTTTTGTTTTTTTTTTTTTTCGATTGGTAGGCTATTTATTACTGATTCAATTTTAGAGCTTATTTTTGGTCTTTTTCAGGGAATCAGTTTATTCCAGGTTTAGTTCTAGGAGGGTGCATGTTTCCAGAAATTTATCCATCTTTTCTAGGTTTTCTAGTTTGTGTGCATAGAGGTGTTCATAGTAGTTTCTGATGGTTGTTTTTATTAATATTTCTGTGGGGTCAGTGGTAACATCCTCTTTGTCATTTCTAATCATGTTTATTTGGATATTCTCTCTTTTCTTCTTTATTACCCTAGTTAGCAGTCTTTCGATCTTATTAATTTTTTCAAAAAACCAACTCCTGGATTTGTTTATCTTTTGAGTGTTTTTCTGTGTTTCAGTTTCCTTCCATTTAGCTCTGATTTTGATTGTTTTTTGTCTTCTGCTAGCTTTGGGGTTGATTTATTCTTGCTTCCCTAATTCTTTCAGTTGTGATGTTAGTCATTAATTTGAAATCTTTCCAACTTTTTGATGTGAGAAATTAGTGCTATGACTTTCCCTCTTAACACTGCCTTAGCTGTGTCCCAGAAATTCTGGTATGTTATGTCTTTGTTGTTATTAGTTTCAAAGAACTTAATGATTTCTGCCTTATGCATTATTTACCCAAAAGTCATTCATGAGCACGTTGTTTAATTTCCATGTAATTCCGTGGTTTTGAGCAATTTTCTTTCTTTCTTTTTTTTTTTTTTTTTTTTTTGTGACGTTTCACTCTTGTCACCCAGGCTGGAGTGTAATGGTGCGATCTCGGCTCACTGAAATCTCCGCCTCCCAGGTTCAAGTGGTTCTCCTGCCTCAGCCTCCTGAGTAGCTGGGATTACAGGTGCATGCCACCATGCCCAGCTAATTTTTGTATTTTTAACAGAGACAGGGTTTTGCCATGCTGGCCAGGCTGGTCTTAAACTCCTGACCTCAGGTAATCCAGCTGCCTCAGCCTCCCAAAGTGCTGGGATTACAGATGTGAGCCACTGCGCCTGGCCAAGCAATTTTCTTAGTCTTGACTTCTTTATTTATTGCAATATCGTCTGAGAGTGTGTTTGGTATGATTTTGCTTCTTTTGCATTTGCTGAGCATTGTTTTATGTCTAATTATTGGCTGAGTTTTAGAATGTGCCATCTGTTGATGAGAAAAAAATGTATATTCTGTTGTTTTCGGATGGACAGTTCTGTAGAGGTCTATCAGATCCATTTGCTCCAATGTTGAGTTCAGGTCCTAAATATCTTTGTTAATTTTCTGCCTTGATGATCTGTCTAATACTGTCAGTGGAATGTTGAACTGTCCCACTATTACTATGTTGGAGTCTTATGTCTCTTTGCAGGTCTCTAAGAATTTGCTTTATGAATCTGGGTGCTCCTATGTTGGGTGCATATAAATTTAGGATAGTCAGATCTTCTTGGTGAATTGAACACCTTATTATTATTTAATGCCCTTCTTCGTTAGTTTCTGATCTTTGTTAGTTTAAAGTCTGTTGTTCCAAAATTAGGATTGCAGCTCCTGCTTTTTTCTGGTTTCCATTTGCTTTGTAGATTTTCTTCCATCCCTTTATTTTGAGCTTATGGGTGTTGTTATGTGTGAGGTATCTCTCTTGAAGGCAGCATACCATTGAGTCTTGCTTTTTAATCTAGTTTGTCACTCTGTGCCTTTTAAGTGAGAAATTTATCCCATTTACATTCAAGGTTTGTATTGATATATGTGGATTTGATCCTGTCATGTTGTTAGCTGGTTATTATCCTGACTTGTTTGTGTGGTTGCTTTATAGTGTCACTTGCCTGTATATTTAAGTGTGCTTTTGTATTAACTAGTAGCAGTCTTTCCTTGCCATACTTAGTGCTCCTTTCAAGATCTCTTGTAAGACAGGTCTGGTGGTAACGAACTCCCTAAACATTTGCATATCTGAAAAAGATCTTATTTCTTCTTCACTTAGGAAGCTTAGTTCAGCTGGACATAAAATTCTTGGTTGAAGATTTTTTTTTTTTTTTTGAGACTGTTGCATATAGGCCCCCCAGTCTCTTTTGGCTTGTAAGGTTTCTGCTGACAGGTCTGCTGTTAGTTTGATGGGCTTCCCTTTTCTAGGTGACCTGCCCTTTCTCTCTAGTTGTCTTTAACATTCTTTTTTTTTCATTTTAATCTTCGAAAATCTGATGATCATGTGTCTTTAGGATGTTCTTTTTGTGTAGAAACTTGCAGGGGTTCTCTGTATTTCCTGAAGTCAACTATGGCCTCTCTGGGCCTTTCCCAAAACTTGCCAGAGAGGCCAACAGACAAGTTCAGGAAATACAGAGAACTCCTGCTAGATTCTAGGATGATATCCTGAAATCTGCTTTCCAAGTTGTTGGCTTTCTCCCCATCCCTTTCAGGAATGCCAGTGATTTGTAGATTTAGTTTTTTTACATAATCTCATACTTCTTGGAGGTTTTGTTCATTCTTCTTCGTTCTTTTTTCTTTATAAGTCCTCATAAGTCTGACTGTCTTATTTCAGAGAGACAGTATTCAAGTTCTGAGATTCTTCCCTCAGCTTGGTCTATCATGCTGATAATACTTATGAAAAATATGGAACACTTTACTAATTTGTGTGTCATCCTTGCGCAGGGGCCATGCTAATCATTCCAATTTTAGTGTGTGTGCTACTCAAGCAAGCACAGAAATTAGATATTAAAGTAGAGAATTTTAAAAAAGAACTGGAAACTACAAAAAAACATTCAAATGGAAATCCTAGAACTAAAAACAATGTAATGACTAAAATTAAAACTCAGTACATGAGTTTAGGAAAGTTTAGAAACATTGAGGAGATGATTAGTAAACTCGAAAATAGGTCTGACAAAAGTAACCAGGCTAAAATTGGAGAGAAAAATGAAACTTCCAGGAGCAGGGGGCAGTGGTAGTAAAAGACATGTGAGATATAGAAATAGGCATCTCAGATGGAGTTAACGCAAATGGGGCAGAAAAAATATTTTAGCAATAATGTCTGTGGCTGTCCAACAAGTCACAGATTCAGGAAGCACTGCAATGCCCCAACAGGATAAACACCAAAAAGTAAAACACCCACACCCAGGCATGGCATAAGAAAATTGCTGGAGGCCAGATATGGTGGTTCACACCTGCAATCCCAGCACTTTGAAAGGCTGAAGCAGGCATATCTCTTGAGGTCAAGAGTTCAAGACCAGCCTGGCCAACATGGCAAAACCCCATCTCTACTAAAAATGCAAAAATTAGTCAAGTGTGGTAGTGCATGCCTGTAGTCCCAGCTATTTGGGAGGTTGAGGCGGAGTCTTCAGTGAGTTGAAATTGCTCCGCTGCACTCCAGCCTGGGCAACAGGGCGAGACTGTCTCAAAAAAAAAAGGAAAACTGTTGGGGGAAAAAAAAAGAGGGCATATTGAAAGCTTCCAGAAACAAAAGACACTAGACAGACTAACGAGTAAGAAAATCAGCTAGTTGGAAAATTTCCTTTTCTTTCCACTTTAAGAAATGCCAAAAATCAGTGGGTTGGCTTGACTATGTTCTGAGTAACCCTTATCTTCATGGCCTTATTTCTCTGAGAGACCAAACCCTTCAAGCCTAGAGGGATTATCAGTGTGCCTAGCTCCCTGAAGATGCTGTGCTGAGATAAATTTTAGTGGGGACTCAGTTCCTGCGTCTTTTGTAGATGCTCTACAGTCTTATTGCTAACAAGACAAAATTCTGGAAGCAGTTTGAGATGTTCATATCCATCTTTATCACTATCTAATGTGATTTTAAGTTATAAAAAGAAAAATGATGACTGAAAAGTTTATAATTTATACCGGATATTTGACAATGTTATATCTATTTTTTTAAGCCATGAAAGGCAGGCCAAAGTAAAAGCCAAATTTATCACAAAGATTTCAATCATTAAAATCTCTCAGGATATCTAACTTCTCTTCCCAAACATTTATGCAGTTCTACTCCTCTAATTCTGAGCTTACACACTTCTCTCAAGCAGGAATCCCTTATCATTTTATCCCTCCCACCTGAAACATGGCTCATGCTTGCATCATTCATGTAACACTTCCTCCCGGTAACCTTGCATTGTGCCACTAGCTGGAATTAGTCACTTCTTTCTCATTTCTCTCTTAATATTTTATTCGTACCTCGATTACTTCATATAGATTTTGTGTGTGTGTGTGTGTGTGTGTGTGTGTGTTTTTGTCGAAGTCTCGCTCTGTCGCCCAAGGTGGAGAGCAGTGGAGCGATCTCGGCTCACCGCAACCTCCGTCTCCCGGGTTCAAGCAATTCTCCTGCCTCAGCCTCCCAAGCAGCTGGGACCACTGCATCTGGCTAATTTTTTGTACTTTTAGTAGAGACGGGGTTTCACCGTGTTGGCCAGGCTGGTCCTGATCTCCTGACCTCAGGTGATCCACCCGCCTCGGCCTCCCAAAGTGCTGGGATTACTGGCGTGAGTCACCGTGCCCCGCCTCATATACTTTTTCATGTGTTGAATATAATCAACTGTTAAAATGTCTTTTATTTATTTATAGTGTCTTTGTTAATGAGTTGTTTTATCCATCTTTACATCCTTCAAAATTCTGAGCTGAAAGGTCAGATTTGAAACTGTAGAGATCAAAGGACCAAATGTGTTCCAAACACCCACCTACTCTCAAATCCCCTGTGTAATACAATAGGCAGATGTTTGTTGATCTGCCTAAACACCTGCGGTAGCAGAAAGCACTGTGTACTTCACAGGGCAATTCATTTCACTTTTAGATGACTTATTAGGAAATTCTTCCTGACAGTGTGCAAAATTTGATTTCTTGACTTCCACCCACTTGGTCCAGTTTTGCCTTGTGAAGCTACACGAAATAAGTTTAATAGCTTTTCCATATTTGGGACGTCTATTTCTAAATGCAAAGCATTATGTTTTTCCTGCAAAATTTTGTTATTTTTGTCACATCGTTCCAAATTTTGCAGATGGTTCTATTCTAGCTCTCAAGTCACATTGCAATTAGTCTAGTATTAGCTTTACAATCCATATACAGGCTTTGAGCCTTGGAACTATAAGACTAAAAGGAAAACTCTCATTTATATTAACATCACTTGAAAGTAAACCTCTTGACTGATAGTGTAACAGAATTACAGAAATTAATAAGATAATGTCCTTGTCACTGGGAAGGTCTCCTTTTATTAAACTAATAGCTAGTGCACCAGAGATAAGGAAAATAAATGTTAATGCAGAGTTGAAAAACTTTATTTTGAAAATAGAAGGCATTAATCATCTGCACTCTTTTACTGTGTCCTTATTTCATTACATATGGTTACTCTTTCAAATTAATTTTCAGAGAGCAGAATGAGAGGAGCCTTGTGCCATCGTTGACTATCTGCACCCTTAAACTGATAGATCATAGCAAAAATTGAAACCTAGCTTAGTCTAATAGTCATTATGAATGGTAGTGCATTAGCTGCCTAAAAGTAAAAAAAAAAAAAAAAAGTTTGAAAGGAGAGTTTGAGACATAAACATTTAAAGGAAAATACCAATTTACTGTAATTGGTATAAAACAAAATGTGACCTTAATTTATATTACTATGTATTCTTGGCAATTTTTTCTCCTCATTTGCAAAATTTTCTCCTTTCTCTATTCCTCCTTGCCTGCACCAGATGACAGTGTCCATGGTGAGGATGAGAGGTGAACAGTATGTGACTTCTGCATAATAATATTCTAAATTTTGAATCATGATGGATATTGCTATAAGCCAGTAACTGTCACCTCAAACTGATGGGTGGGAAAAGGGTCCTTCAGGCATGACACATTGGCAATAATTGGAAATCCATTCTTTTCTCTTTTAAAAAGAAAAGTCTTTATTTGTATGCAGTATCAGAGTAGATACATGTAATTTTTGTTGTGGTGGTGGTGGTGGTTGTCTTTTTTTTTTTTTTTTTTTTGAGATGGAGTCTCACTCTGTCACCCAGGCTACAGTGCAGTGGCGCAATCTCAGCTCACTGTAACCTCCGCCTCCTGGGTTAAAGTGATTCTCCTGCCTCAGCCTCCCAAGTAACTGGGACTACAGGCATGAGCCACCATGCCCAGCTAATTTTTGTATTTTTAGTAGAGACGGGTTTTCACCATGTTGGCCAGGATGGTCTCCATCTCTTGACCTCATGATCCAACCACCTTGGCCTCCCACAGTGCTGAGATTACAGGTGTGAAGGTGTAGTTTTTAAATAAAACAATTGTTTCAGTTTACCAGCAGGAAGCATTTTGGTACTCTGCTTTTAATGTTAAAATAGAAGTGTTGTTTGCTTCATGCTCCTATTGTTATCAATAGTATAATTGGTTGTTAAGCTTATTATCAGAAACTATGGAACATGATTGATTTAATATTCAGTATATCAGAAATCAGGTATTTATTTGTTTACACATTTCATTTATGTAGCAGAATGTTCCCGTGAATCACAAATCTGAATTTTTGGCATATTGGTGAGCAGGACAGGAAAATTAGATCTGAATGGGTGGTAAAACCTTTTTTATCATCTGGGCTCTGATACACAATTGGAAAAACATGTAAGCATACATAAAATGCCTTATAGTATATTGACTGTGGAGTTTAGATCTTAACATAATTATATTCATGCTCTGGGGAACATTTATACCTTTTGATTAAAGATCTCTCAGTAGCAGAGCAGCTTTCTAACTAGCCCGCAAGATTTCTGCTAGAAGTAAAACAGTAGCATCCTAGGCCGTGGTGATTTACAATCTGAACTGTACATTTCCTTCTTAAGGACACCTTTGCTGGAAGGCGTCATTCAGGGTGAGCAGCCACTATGTACATTGCCCTAACAAAGTGGAGTCACTATATAGTTTTAACAAACATTCTGGACACATTTGAGA
Source organism: Homo sapiens (assembly GCF_000001405.40). NCBI lineage: Eukaryota > Metazoa > Chordata > Mammalia > Primates > Hominidae > Homo > Homo sapiens. Next base: position 83,699,247 of record NC_000005.10, on the reverse strand, counting down.
AAAATAATCTCCTTCAATAGTTGTTTGATGGTAAAGTACACTGCATTTAATATTTTATGTTTGTCTATTTACATTTTCAAAGCCTCTTCCTTTTATGTACTCTTTGAATGACAAAGCTCACTTTTTACTGCCTTAGCACCTTTTTTTCACCAGTGGTTAATAATTTATACACAACAGTGAATTTGATGTTAAATATCTTATATACTAAATGGGAATTAAAAACATATTTAACAAGTTTTTTAAAAATTTAAAATAGCATATTCTCTGCTAAAAATATTATACTTCTACTTAATCAAGAGATGCTGCTCTTTAAATAGAATTGAGTATCATGTATACGATACCGTATTCGAAAAATTTTGGAGAAACCTTCTATATCCATGCTGATGAAGTTCAAATTCATTTCACTTATTTTAGAGATTATACTATGGGGTCAAGTAGGCCTGAATTTAAATTCCAATTAAGATTTTTACTGTGTATCAGTTCTGCACCTTGTGCAAATTACTTAAGCCCTGAGTTTCATTATCCATTATAAAATAGAATTTTTGACAATATTTGCCTCATAGTGTTTGTAGCCAAGATACTGCCAAGATAATATATGTAAAGCACCATAGAAAGTAATGAACAATTGGCAGCTATTTATATTATTTTCATGAACTACTACTAGGGGAACTATAGGTGGATTTCTTATAATAATAATGGCAGAAGAATTCATTAAAGAAAACACTGATAGATTTAGTTTCATAAATTCTCATTAATTCTAGACATAAAAACCAAAAATCAAAATACAGGGAAATTTTTTAACATATGTCACAGAAAAAGAAGCAGTATCTTTAATATGCAAAGAGTTTTTAAAAATCGATAGCAGATTTTTGACAAGAGTACCAAGAAAATTCAGTGAGGAAAGTATACTCCTTACAAAGCAGGAAAAGAAAAAGAAAAAAATAACATACAATGGAGCTCCAGTATGTCTGGCAGCAGACTTCTCAGTGGAAAACTGAGATGCTGGGAGAAGTAGACAGACACAGACATAGAATGAAGTTGGACTCTACCTCACATCATAAACAAAAATTCTTTCAAAATAGATTGAAGACTAAATATAAGAACTAAAACTATAAAACTTTTGAAGACAACATAGGTGTAAATATTAATGACCTTTGATTAAGCAGTGGTTTCCTAGATGTGATACCAAAAGCCACGCAACCAAAGTGATATTAATAAATGAGGCCTCATTAGTACTTCAAAGGACAATATCAAGAAAATAAAAAGACATCCCAAAAGATTGGGAGAAAAATATTTGCAAATCTTATGCTAGTATATATCCAGAATATATAAAAAATTCTAATTCAACAATTAAAAAATAAACAGCCCAATTAAAAAATGGACAAAAGATCGGAATAGACATTTCTCCCAAAGAGATGTACAAATGGCCAATTAGCACATCAAGAGACAGTCAACATCATTAGTCATTAGGAAAATACGAGTTATACCCCTAATGAGATATCACTTCATACCCACTAGGATGGCTATAATGAAAAAGGCATACAATAATAAGTGTCAGTGAGGATGTGGAGAGTGGAGAAATTGGAACCCTCATGCATGGTTGCATGAACATAAAACAGTGCCGTGCTTTGGAATACAGTTTGGCAGTTTCTCAAAGAGCTCAACATATAGTTACCATATTCCATCGCTTGGTAGATAAGGCCCAGAATTCAAAAAATATGTTCATACAAAAACTTGTGCATGGGTGTTAATAGCAGCATTATTCATTAAAGCCCAAAAGTGGAAATAACTCAATTGTCCATCAACTGATGAACAGATAAATAAAATGTGGTATCTATATAGGTGGAATGGAATAGTATTCACACATAAAAAGAATGAAGTACTGATACTTGCTACAGAATGAACATTGAAAACATTACGCTAAGTGAAAGAAGCCAGGCATAAAAGGACCACAAATTATATGATTCAATTTACATCAGTCAATACATCTGTCTCTATGAATTTGCCTATTCTAGATGATTTGTTGAATCATCTAGAATAGACTCATTGAATCATCTAGAATATTCATTGAATATTCATTGAATCATTAAATTCATTGAAGTCATTGAATTCATTGAATCATTTAGAATCATTTAGAATGGCATCCATAGAGACAGAAAGTAGATTAGTGTTTGCCAGGAATCCTGGTGGGGGAGGGAATAGGGAATAACAGCTCATAGGTACACAGTTTCTTTTACGGGTGATGGAAATGTTCTGGAAACAGGTAGTGGTAATGGTTGCACAACTTGAGGAATGTACTAAAAACCACTGCACTGTATGCTTAAAGAGTGCATTTTATGATATACAAATTACATTAGTTTTTTAATGTTTCAAAACTCAGTAACAACTAATAGGCAACAGTTAAAATATGGCAATTCACAAAAGGAGAAATGTAAGTGACTGATGAGCATGGACAAAATTTTTTTATGTCATTTGTAATTAGAGCAAAGAAAATTAATACAAACATAAGCCTACCAAATTTTTGTCTATCAAATGTATATATTTAAAATTATACACAGGCAAGAGTATTTTCTTTATTCAATCTATTGGTAGAAATAAAACTTGAGAACTTTTCTGAAGAGCAGTTTGGCCATATGAATGAAATTCTTTTTAAAATTTTGTATCTGATCTTTTTGTATACCACATTGCAAATACCATACTCTCTTAATTACTATAACTTTATTATAAATCTTAAAGTCAGGTAGCACAACTCTTTGTGCTTTCAACTTTGTTCTTTCTTTTGTAAATTCCTTTTCTAAAACATTTTGGCTATTCCAGGGAATTTACATTTACATATGAATGTTAAAATTACCTTGTACCTTTCTACCAAATGTGGGCTAAAATTTTGATTTGAATGCATTGAATTTATGGGTCAGCTTGGGAAGACTGAATCTCTTAATAATATTGAGCCTGTTTTATGAAAATACCATATCTTGCCATTTATTTATGTCTCATTTAATTTATCTGAACATGTTTTTTAACTTTCAGAGTACAATTTGCATATTTGTTGGCTATTTTTCCCTAAATATTTTTATGCTTTGGTATATGGTATTCTTTAAATTTCAATTTTTGATTATTCATTGCCAGTGTATAAAAATATAATGATGTTTGCACATGGATCATATATCCAGCAACTTTTAAACTTAGTTTATATGTTACAGTAGCTTTTTTGTAGACTTTTTATGATTTTTCTGTGTAGACTGTCATGTTATCTGTAAATAAAAAGTTTTAATTCTTCCTTTCCAATCTGTTTGACTTCTATTTCTTTTTCTTGCCTTAATTCCACTCTCTGGGAACCTCCACTAGGATGTTTAAAGTAAATGGTAAAAACGTAAATGCTTGCCTTTTTTCTGGTTTTAGGAATAAATAATTTAGTCTTTTACCATTAAGTATGATGTTAGCTGTGGGTTGAACATAGATGCCCTTTATCAGATTGAGGAAGTTCCTTTTTATTCCTTTATTAAGAGTTTTTAGTTGGAGTGGATGTTGGATTATGTGAAATACTTTTCCTGTATCTATTGAGATGTTTATATAAATACATATAGATATATATTTATCTATATATAAATATATTTATCTATATAGATATATATCTATAGATATCTATATAGATATATATTTATCTCTATATATATTTATATAAACATCTCAATAGATACAGGAAAATAGATACACTAAATATGTATATATATATAAATCTATTTAGTGATCTATCTGTTTTATCTGTTGAGCAATCGATTGATTGTTGTGTCTGTCTTTCTATCTCTTAATGTAATGAATTATGGCTGGGTGTGGTGGCTCACACCTGTAATCCCAGCACTTTGGGAGGCCGAGGCAGGTAGATCTCCTGAGGTCAGGAGTTCGAGACCAGCCTGGCCAACATGGCGAAACCCCATCTCTACTAAAAATACAAAAATTAGCTGGGCGTGGTGGCATGTGCCTGTAATCCCAGCTACTCGGGAGGCTGAGGCAGGAGAATTGTTTGAACCCAGGAGGCAGAAGTTGCAGTGAGCCGAGATTGCGCCACTGCACCCCAGCCTGGGTGACAAGAGTGAGACTCCATTTCAAAAATATATGTATAATGAATTACATTGATTTTCTAATATAAAGAAAACCTTAAATTTCTGGGATAAACCCCATTTTGTATTAATCCATTTTATATCTTTTTGGATTAGATTTGCTAAAATTTTGTTAAAATTTTTACGTTTATGTTTGTGAAGGGTAATTGATTTGTAATCTACTTTTCTTGAAATGTTTTTGTCTGATTTTGGTATTGAAATAATGCTAGCCTCATAGAATAAATTGGGAAATATTCTCTCCTCTTCAATTTAATCTAAGAGTTTGTGTAAAGTTGATATTATTTCTTCTTTAAATGTTTGGTGAAATTCCGTGAAGTCACCCAGGCCTGGAATTGGTTTTGTTTATTTTTTTGTTCATTTTTGTTGTTATTCATGGGAATTTTTAAACTAAAAATTTGATTTTTAAAAAATAGATATAGGGCATTCAGGCTATTTGTTTCTTGTGTGAGTGGTGGCAATTTTTATCTTTCAAAGAATTTCACCATTTCATTTAACTCACTGAATTTATTAAAACAAAGTTTCATAATATTTTCTTATTGTTTATTTCTATAGAATTGATAGATATTATCTACTTCATTCATTATATTGATAATTCATATCTTTTATATTTTATCAGATTAGCTTGTATAGAGATTTATGAATTATATTGATCTTTTCAAAGAACCATCTTTTGTTTTTACTTATTTTACTCTGATATTATTATTTTTTTGTTCTGCTTACATTGGGTTTCATATTCTCTTCTTTTTCTAGTTTCTTAATGTGGAATCTGAAGTCATTGATTTGAAACTTTTCTTCTCTAATACGTGTTTAGGGGAATACTTTCTAAACTAAGTATTGCTTCACTGCATCCCAGAGATTTTGATATGCTATGTTTTAATTTTTATTCAGTTTAAAATAATTTTAATAGCCCTTTTGATTTTTTCACTGACCCTTGGGTTATTTAAAATTTTGTGCTTTAGTTTCCAAATAGATAGAAGTATTCCACATATCTTTTTGTTTTTGATTTCTACCTTAATTCTATACTTAGGGAATATATTTTGCCTCACGTAAATCCTTTTACATTTCTTGAGAATTGTCTTATGACCCAGAATATAGTTTATCTTGGTAAGTGGTTGGTATGCATTTGAAAAGAATGTGTACTTGCTCTTGTTGAGTAGAACATTTTATAAATATTAATTAGGTGAGGTTGGTTTACAGTATTCAAGTCTTCTATATATTTTCTGATTTTTCTGCTTACTTGTTCCATCAATTGTTGATAAAGGGATGCTCTAATATTTTACAATTCTATATCATTTTGCTTCAGGTATTTTTGAACCTCTGTTATTAGAAGCATACATTTTTAATGTTGTAATGTTCTCCTGATAATTGGACACTTTATCATTATGAAATTGCTCTCTTTTCCCCTGCTGATATTTTTTATCCTGAAATCTATTTTGTCTGATTTTAATATAGTGTCTCTATCTCCCTTTTGGTTAGTGTTAGCATATTATGTATTTTCCCATCCTTTTACTTGTCATATATTCTTGTCTTTCTTATTTAGATTATCTTAAAAAACATATAGTGGTTCTTTTAAATCCAACCTGACAATCTCTGCCTTTCAATGGAGGTTTATAGATGATTTACCCTTAATTAAAATATTGATATGCTTGGCTCTGAATCCACTATCTTGCTAATTTTTCTATTTGCCTCTTCTGTTCTTCATTCTCTTCCCTCTTCTTTTTCTATCTTCTTTTGAAATAATTTGAATATTTTCCAAAAATTCCATTCTGTCTCCTTTGTCGGTTTATTAGTTATGAGTCTTTGTTTACATTTCTACTGGCTGCTTTAGGTTTTATAGTATATACCTTAACTTTTCACAGTCTATTTTCAGGTGATATTTTACTACAGTAGTCCTGCTCATATCTGCAATTTTATTTTCTTTGGCTTCAGTTACCAGCAGTCAATGACAGTCAGAAAAGAGGTGAGTATAGTAAAACAAAATATTTTGAGAGAGAGAGGCCATACTCATATAACTTTTATGACAGTATATTGTTATAATTGCTCCATTTTATTATTGTTAATTTCTTACTGTGCCTAATTTATAAATTAAATTTTATCATAGGTATGTGTGCAGAGGAAAAAACACAACATATGTAAGATTTGGTACTATCCACAGTTTCAAACATCCACTGGGTGTCTTAGAATGTATCCCTTGAAGATAAGGGGGACTACTATACTTCATGTAAAGTATTAATATAAGAACCTTCCAATGACATATTTCTATTACCCTTAGACATGGTCTTTGTACAAATGTTGTTATGCAGTTGTCATGCATTTTGCTTCTAAATATAAAACCCCACCGTACATTCATATCATTTTTACCTTAAGGTTTCAATTATCTTTGAAAAACATTTACATAATGAGAAAAATGTGCTTACTTATAGTTAGTATAGTCAGTGCTCTTCATTCTTTGCATAAATCCAGTTTACCAACTGTTATCATTTTTCTTCTGCATGAAGAAGTTTCTTAAATATTTATTTCTGTGTAGGCTATTGATGAATTATTTTAGCTTTGTATGTCTAACAAAGTCTTTATTTGCCTTTGTCTATGAGACATATTTTTGCAGAGTAAAGAATTCTAGGTGGACAGTTTTCTTTCAGTACTTTAAAGATCTCATTCCACAGTCTTCTTGCTTGCTTTGTCTCAGACAAGAAATCAGCCTTCATCTTTACCTTTATTCCTCTGTGAATAATGGGTCTTTTTCTTCCTTTCTTTCAGATTTTCTCTTTACCACTGGTTTTAAGCAGTTTCATTATTGAGGGTTTTGGTTTAATTTTCTGCATGTTTCTTGTGCTAGAATATTTGCTGAAATTCTTGGGTCTGTAAGTTTGTAATTTTTATCAAATTTGAAAGTTTTCAGTCATTACTTCTTCAAATTTTTTTCTGCCCCTTCTCTCTTTTGGAGACTCCAATTACGTATGTTTTGGCCACTTAAGTTGTCCCACAGTTTAGTGATGCTCTTTTCCTTTTTAGTTTTCAGTCATTTTTCTTCTCCCTGCTTCATTTTGGACAGTTTTGATTATTGCAACATCTTCAACTTCACTCATCTTTTATCCTGAATTGTTTAACCTGCCATTAATCCCATTCAATTTTTTTTTATCTTAGACAATGTCATTTTCATCTCTAAATGTTTTATATAGGCTGGTTGTAAATGTCTTTTTCATGCCTCTATATGTAACATATTCAATAATTCTTCTAGCTTCTTGAACATTTGAAATATAGATATAATAGCATTTTAATGTTCTTATCTACTGTTTCTATCATCCGTATCTACTATCATTTTTATAATTTCTGGGTCTGCCCATTGACTAAGTTTTCTCTTTATTATTATTATTACTATTATTATTGGTATGCCCTGCTTCTTTGTAAGCCCAGTAGCTTTCTGTTGGATTCCGTATGTTTTAAATTTTACCTTGTTTAATTAAGGCTGGATACTACTTATTCCTACAAATATTACTATACGTTGTTCAGAGATATGGTTAAGGTACTTAGAAACAGTTTGATTCTTTCAGGTCACTCTTTTAAATTTTGTTAGGTGGTCCTAGAGCTGTCTTAAGTTTAGTATTACTTTTCCCTCCACTAGCGAGTAAAGATTCATCTTAAGATTTTAAACCTTCTCCAAGAATTATGAGGCTTTTTAGACTGCCTGTTGGAAACAGGTGCTATTCCAGTGCTGGGTGAAGACTAATCCTTTAGGATCATTTTTTCCTTAGACTTGGATAGATTTCTCACACATATGCACTGGTCAGTCCTTAACTGAATATTCTAGGAGAAAACTCTAAACATCCTAAGTTAACTCTGTGTCACTCTCTCCTTTCCTCTCATTTCTATTATTCTGCCTTGCAACCTCTAGGAACCGTCAATTTTCAGAACTCTTGGCTCTCAACGCCTCAGCTCAAGTTTTTGAACAGGCTCTAGGTAGGTTCCTTCTTCCTGTACTGTATGAAAACTTTCTTTCGGCAATAAATTATATGACTCACCTCATTTGTTTTCTAATAATCAGAAGTTACTGTTCTTTGCCTGATGTCCAATATCTTGAGTGTCTGGTTTTTTCTGTATTTTGTCCATTATCTTTTTAGTTGTTTGAGACAGAAGAGTAAATACTGCTCATCTTACTTCATCTTGATCAGAAACAGAAGTCCTAGGTGGTTTTATTTTCATAGTTTTGCTTTTCTTCATTTTTCTAGTTTCTCTAAAATAACACATGCATTCATATAAAACTAATAAAAATATGCGACTTATTTTAATAAAATACTCAGGATAGTATTAAAGGACTAGATTTGGTAATTGATCATAATAATATGCCTGAATATATAATCACCATATAAATAGTTTTCAATGTCTTTAACAATATTGAAATTATGTCAGATATTTTTTTCCCTAAGGAAGAGAAAATCAGGGGTGCGCAAATTCATAAATTAGCAGATAAAAATGGAAAGGCCTTATCTGAAAAGAAAAATATGTGACTCTTTAAATATATAAAACCCATTTAATAAACCATAGCATGTTACAATGAAATCTGTGAAAATAGAATTAACATATCTCCACATATAAATTACCCCAATCTTACTTATTCTAGATTCCAACATATTTCTCAAAGAATTGTTCATAAAACCTTTTAGTTCCCATTTACAGATGTTTCTCCCGTGACCAAACAGCTAATTCTGTGCCACTTCAAATAACATCTTACACTTTCAACAATCTCAGAAATACATCACACTACTAAAAAACCTGTTTCTACATCTGTAACTTTGGCTTTTATGATCGCCTTGGGTGGCTCATTTTTCCTGGAATTTTCAAAGCCCAGATTATAAAACAATCTTTCTGAAAAAGGTATCAGAAATTAACTATTTTTTGCTTTGGTTGTTTGATGGGGGGAAACAGTCTAGGGTATTTTCAGAATTTAACATTGTCCTTTGCATTATATCCAGCACAAACAGATATGACAGAGGAGTACTGATGCCAGGAATGTGTCCCACGTAGCCTTCCTATTTAAGTAAACTGAAGATTGCCTCCTCAATTAGTTGAAACTTCTGGGTGGTCTTCCAGAAAATAGCTCTTTGAAGAAAGCAGTGCACTAATAATACTGTAAATGTAAAATAACATTAGCTCTTTAGCTTTGAAGCTAAGAAAGAATGAATAGCAATGAGATATTTTGTTTGTTCATATAAAATTTCCTATCTCTGACCCTTCAGAAGGAAAAATTCTATATAAATCCAATGAAAAAATTTTAAGTTTATATATTTGGGTTTAGAATTAGCCATTAATTTGGGGCATGTGTGTGTAAACTATCTGATTTGTTTACTTTTATAGGTGCATGCACACACACACAAACTTCTATAGTAAAATCACTGTATAATAAATTTTAAATAACTGGGGGTATGTAGTAAATAAAAAAATCTCTCCCTTTCTGAGAAAATTGGCCATTATTTAGCCTATTCTGCACATTTGATTTCACTGTCAAGTCTAAAATCACCCCATATGTGCCCTTGATATTATCATTCCACTGCAGCCTGCCCCAGGCAAAATAGTGAAGTTATTGAAGTTGGTTTTGTGGGCACTCTAATTCCCTTCCAGAGACTCCTTTTTCCCTTGTATTCTTCTTGTCTGGGGAGTGAAAAAAAAGTTGTAGTTCAGTTATAAGGCCTTTTATTAATGAAAATGTTCATTTATGTAGCTGCCTATATTTCCAGGGAAACATAGGACAAGCCAGTAATATTAGTAATCTTCATTATGCAAATGTTCATAACTCTGATTTTCATTAATACACGAGCTATGTGTATGTAGCAGTTTGGCAAGGAGAACAGTCATTATTTAGGTGCTCAGCATATTCAACTTTGGTCTTAGCTAAATCCACCGATCCCTAACGCTCCTCACCCTACCCTTCCAAATAGGAAGAATAGCCAAAATAATTTTATCATGAAAAATGGAAATTTCCTACAAACAGGAGCCTAATACTTGGGATTGATTGGTCAATGGACTGAGTAAATTTAAATAAGGTAGACTATGCACCTATTGTAGGCTTTGCAAATCCTCCAGGCAAGTTCATTCTAAATGGAATTTTGCCTGTGCAAATACAATGCATGTACTAAGAATTGTACTTAAGCCTCAATACGGAGCATTGAATTTAAGTTCCCAAGGTTCTGCTCAGCCTCATCAAATATGGACCAAATGGGCATTGTTGACAAATGCATATTGACATGGTCTTCAGTTTAGTTTTCTTTGTTTATGGCTTTATTAGAGGAATTTTTAGTAGCTCTTTCTCACTGTACATAGCAGAGGGTGATAGAAGAGTTCGTTTTCTGTCCACCGTTTCCCTGAATGCATCATTTTCTAGAGTTATTGTCTCTTCTCTCTTCAGTCTGTATTAATGTCTTCCATTTAAATAAGCTTTCCTCAAATACTCATTCTCCAAAGTGAAAAAAAAAAAAAAAAAAAAAAAAAAAAAGAATCAAAAGCTGCATTTGGCAAATACTAGCACAGGAAATTTTCCAAAATCGTGAATGCCCACAAAAGAGGTCAACATCCATTTGCTTTTCATGTGCATTTAATTATTGGAAAGAATTTGATTTGGCAATTACGCTAGTGTTTTGAAGCAACTTCATTTTACGACTGAGAATGAGGACTTCTTAAAGTGGGGACTGTGCCAGTCAGCTCATGCCAGATCTATTGTGGGTATTGAAAAGTTTAACATGTGAAGAGAACTAAATAGAGAATGGCAGGAGCTCTGCTGCTACATCGGGATATGTGGAGCCTGGTGCCTCATGAGAGGCAGCCAAAGTGGATGGTGTGTCAGTGATCACTGGGATGACTCCTTGGACAAAATAGTTCTCCCATGCCTAAAATGTACACTATAGAAAATAAACCTTTAAGTCAAAGGCATTAGTGGAGAAGCAAGAGAGTATCAGAAGACTAAAGGCAAAGAAAATGATGGTTTCAATGGGAGAGGATCAGGAAGGAGCTAACACTTGGGTCTGACCAGAAATCCTGAAAGTGTAGATGCATGCATAGCTAGAATGTCCTGGATACCAGAGTGTTCTAAAAAGAGAAAAGACAAAAAGGTTGAGACAAAGGAAGGAATGGGCAGATATGAAAGCAAATTTACCTCATCCCACATGGCCTATTTTGTGTCATAGAAATTCTTGTCTATCCAATGCTTATATCTTAAGAAAACCAAGAGAGTCAAAACAGCCTTTTGATGTTTCAGTACAAGAACAATAACTCAGAATGTTCTATATAAATGCATTTCCAGAATTTAAATATGCTAACACCAAAGAGCAAAAACAATGGGATATTCCATCCTTCTGATACTCTCATTTTCCCCCCAATATGTAAATGAAGGAATAGGATATGTTAAAATGTTACAATTAACAGATATAACTTGCAAAACAGTTATGAAGAAATTTTTTCAGCATATGTGCTGGAGATACAAGGATTAATAATACAATGTGGACATTACTCTCGTCAAGTCAGTTGCATTTTAATTAGCAAAGTTGAGTATCTCATCACATTAGTGTGACACCAAATGCTGAGATTCAGATTTAAAGAGGTCATTCCTTGTTTAGATGCTATAATGGTGAGAGATATTCAGGGACACAGATTCCATTTTATGTACTTGCTCCTAAAACATTGTTGAATGAATGTTTTGAACATGATGCCAGCAAGTAGCTATTTATATTGTTTATGCATATGCCTGAACAGAAATTTATGCTCTTGCTGAGAGGCTTATTTTGAAAAGACCTTCCTAAACTATCACTAGAAAATGCAAATTGTGGTCAAGAGGTTCGTAACTGAAGACTACTGTATTCTCCTCCATGAGAGGAACGGCAGATGTTTCCTTAGGCCATTCACTATATACTGAGAGAAAATTTGCCATTTTTTGCAGTTTTTAAAAATTGATTTTGACTACACCAGCACTGAAATTAAATGAATCATTTTCTTTTCCTGATTTCCTGTGGATTTTGAGGAGAGGTTTGCTTTATAAATACCACTTGCTCTTCCTTATATCAGTTTTGTTTTACATATTTCGTAATTTTTGAGTGCATTTCCTTTTGTTTTATATTCCAAAATACCTGTCACCTTCACTTCCAAACAGCCAGTTCCACCTATTAACTTCTGTTATTGTTGTTTATTTTTAGCAATGGCATTTTTACAGAATAAAAATTCTTTCCTTGAAATTCAGGAATGGAGAAACAACACACCCTTCCAGATGTAGAGGAAATAAACCTTATCCTGCTCTTGAACTCCCTGAAATTTAAGTGACCTTCTTTTGTTTTCTGTCACTTTGCACCCCACCTGCTGTACTGTCTACTCCCACCCATTGGCCCAGCAGTGCAGATTTAGAGAACTTTTCTAAATTCACTTGCTGCCTCCAAAACGGCAGGTGGGCGGCAGGTGCTGGGGGCTATACAGTGAAGGGGATGAGATATGTGTGTGTGTTTGTGTTGAATTTGATGTATTACAATTTTAGTCAGCATTAGCAGAATGAAAAGGTGGCATGGCTGTCTCTGAATTAATTCATCACTAAAACATACTATCTGAAGTTTAGCGACATTGATCCTTCTTACTTTATTGTTGCTATCACTATTGCCAACTAAGATAAGAATGAACATATGTGGATTTCACTAACTTTGTCTCTCAGCCAAACCAAAGGAAGTTTCCATAAGCCTGGCAAGAAAGGACAAGCAGAATTCAGAAAGCCTCACTAGAACTGATTCTATTTGACAGGCTGGTCTTGTTCCCTCTTCTACCTTTTCACCTCTAGCAACAGCTGTTTCGTTGTTTTACCTGTCATAATTTTCTCCTTTTAAGACAGGTAGGTTAATTATGCCAGGAGTGGATCAACGGGCACAATTCTTAGGCAAATTTTAAATTAGCAAGTAGGAAGAAATGAGATCGGTAATTTGACCTCAAGTCTTGACATTTCTTTTTTTTTTTTTTTTTTTTTTGGCTACATTTTATATCTCTAATTGTTGTTTTGGCTCCGTCATTGGTGATAGTACAATTTCAAATAATCTCCAGTGTGCCAGGGTAGAGAAATTTAGCAGGAAATGACGGTGAAAATCAAAAGCACATATGCTTTATGTTCTCCTACAAATGGACTTCGAGAACTTGTGTGGAAATACTTGCAAGAAAGTATAGATAGTCATATGCTCTTGGCCAAAAATGGTCCTTTTCTATCAGAGTACGTTATTCTCTTCAAATAAGCAGCACATATTTGGAAGATTTGCCCTTGACAAGTTCAGATTGAGGCACCGACAAGAGAGAAAAGGTCACACCAATCAACTCCAATAATGGAGTAACTGAGTTCCCTTAGTAACTACTTCAGACAACTCCAGTTACCTCTAGTTCACTCTCATATACAGCTATGTTTAGAACTACAGAAACGCCAATCTCCTTATTCATTCATTGAACACTCACGAAAACTCAAGATTAGAAGGACCAATAAATCCAGGAGTATAAAGACTAATAAAATATGGTCCTTGTCCTCAGGAAGTTTACACTTTTGTAACATTAGCACGGGGTCAAAATGTTTTAGATGCTTCATTAATAGTTTGAGAATCAAATGATTTTTTTACAGTTGTATGAAATGTGATGATTTATTCAATGAGTTGTGTGTGTGTGTGTGATGTCTAATATCTAGAAGTTTGCAGCATATAGTTTTACAGGTTGTGTACTGAACAATATCTAGAAGTCTGCAGCATACGGTTGTGCAGGTTGTATACTGTGCAATTCTGGAGGCTTCCATTTATCCTGCAGTGTGCAGTGCAAAGCCACAGAGGCATACATAGCATCCCTGAGCTTCTACAGTGTGTCAGAGGACATAGTAGTAAACATAGTTTCTACCCTCCTGGAGCTTGCATTCTAGTAGTTACACATGCAGACAATGAGCTGGATTCTGCTATCAAATCCCATGCCATTTTTCCAGTACCATTTTAAAGTATGTGGCTTGACAATCTTTTGATATAACCAATTATGAAAATGTATTAATATTAAATGTAGAAATGATTACACTGATCACTGAATTTATAACAATAGCTATGTTAATCTGCCCTTACTAAAGAATGAGTGAGAATCCAATAGCTAAAGGCTAACCCATTGTATTTTGAAATCTTTATATTTTATCTCTATAAAAAATTGGAAGTCTTTAAAAGTGTGTTCTACATGCATCTTCCCTAGTAAACAGAGTATGCATGTCAGATTGAGAAGATCCCTCTTTGTACTGTGTACTTTGTACACAGTTATATCTTCTTATGAGGTATGTAAAGATAAAGTAAGTAACCTGCAGTGATGTGGCACTGGTTGGAATGCCTGATTGCACTAGGAAAAGTTCTCATTAATTTTATGTTCAAGGCCTTTTTGTCTTGCCCCTGACTCCCTGTCCAATCTCACCTCCAGCCACTCTACTATGATCACCCCACTCTCCAACTACACGAGCTCCATGTAGTCACACAAGCAGGCCAAGCTCCCTCACAGTTCATATGATTAAGCAGCAATATCCTTTCCCCTCTTCTCTATCTCCTGTTTGTCTTTCAGCCCAGCTGAACGATCACCTTTCTGAAACCGTTTCTATATCCTGCCAGCCAGGCTGGGTTAGGTGCCTGCCAAGCCTGCCACTCTGCACAGTTTTAGTGGGCACCATTCCGACTGCATGCTGGAGTGCCCCTCTTCTTTTTCCAATAGTATCCTGAGTATGCCTATATGCACTTGCCACCCTGTTCTTTTATATTGCTTCCCAGCCTATCTTGAGGGTACCTGCTTTGGGATCTGAAGCTGAGCCTTATTTCTACTTGCCTGGTGTAAGGTGGATTCTCAATGGATAATTGTTTGAATGACAGCTTCATTTGGCACAGTACATAATTTAGGTGCCCCTGAGATATGTAAGGCTGGAATTTCTCTCTTTGGATATGCTCAGATTGTTCACTTAGCCTATCTGGTGTTGTTTTTCCCTATTGTAATGCTTATCCTTCAAGTCATTGCTCCCATTCTCAGGGGCCATGCTGCTGGTCTCTTCGCAGATGTTCATTACCACTAAAGAACACTACTCCTTGGCCTCTTTTCAGTTGCTATCTTCCTCCTCCTTCTGCCCCCTCCTCCTCCCCGCAGTCTGCTTCTCCCTCTTTGTTTTGCTCTTGTTCTTTTCTGTTTGCTTCTCAGCAGTAGGGGCCCTGTTTTTTAAACAATTGCCTACTGAGAATGTACACTGTTAGAAGTCCATCTCAGATCTACATTCTATTTCCCATGACATTTATATGGTCAGTATTCTCTCAGTATTTGCAGTACTGTGCTCACTAAGACTTACTTTGAGGTGTGCAGTTATTACTAACCTCTGAGAGTGATGACTGGCAGCTGTGTATGTGAGGTTTTTCTACAATTTTTAGATAGCAGTTCCTTTTTGAAGAAGTGCACAATGTCACCACTTCCCTTGCTTTCCAGGTTCTGTATTTTTAGGATTACACTTCATCATCCAGATCTAAATGTATCTGTGTACCTGCTAAAGTTAACGAGGTATAAGAGATTATTCAAAGGTCACATTATCCTCAGCTGTAGGCACATTATCCTCAACTGTCATTTGCCCAACACTGATGAGAATTCCAGTCTTTTATGTAATTGCTCATGGCACTACCATTGCTTTCTGTGAAAATTATGGAAGAGAGAAGCTTAGTTTTTCGTAGCTGCTCGTTTCCTCTTAACTTTGTTAGTACTCACCCAGGAACTCTGCCACCTCTACACTGCCCTCACTACCATAATACTTCACAAAAACATGATCACATTTGAAATGGAAACAACCTTGGGGAACTTTATACTGGTAACTGTAATGATGGGAATTTGGAGACCAGGTTGAAAGGGAGGATCTGTGAGAGAGACGTGGAGCTGGTAATTTTGTAGTATTTAGAACAATGTAAAACCTGAGACTTTTTATACCCAGCTTCCCTCATTCTTAGGACAATAGTGCCCATATTGTTATGTATTTTACTCATGTATATTTATTTCATTCTGAGTCAATGGAAAGCTTTGATACTTATATAAAAGTTTTAAAATCTTTTGTTCTTCATAAAAGAAAGCTACAAATTATGTAGATATTTTTGAAGTCTACAGCAGTAGTTTCTAGCTAAGATTCCATGCCTATAAAGAAAGTTGATTAAATGATTTTATGTGTTTTCAGGATGAACAAATTCCTGAGCCAAAGAAGTTGTAAATGAGAATTATTTAGTTTTAAAAGCTTAAAAAACACCTTCAAAGATCATTATAATTTAAAAACCTATTAGGATGAATTATTGGGCTATATCCTGCATCACAAAACCAATTTGGAAACTCAATTTAATGAGCTTAGAGGTCAATATTTGCTAAATTAATTGGAAGATATTGTATTTTCCCTTTTTTGAGCTGTGTAGACACAGCCCTTTTGGCTGGAACACACTTTGTTACTTATATACCAATGAACTGAATTCTGATGAGGTCATGTTTTGACGTAGGATGGGGACAAATAGTAAACTTTCGTAAGGATCTTGGAAGATACCTGAAAAGACTCAGCCAACGGAGATGAGGATTGACTGCATGAAGTGCATTGGAGAGAACAGAAGTTTCTGCTGCTAAAAACCATTAATATATTATTTTTATTTTTATTATGACTTAGTATAACTAGGTACCACAGTAAATCGATGATCATAAAACTTTTCATTGTATGTAGTACAAAATCAGAATTGACACATATTTAAAAATCTTCCTATGCCTTCTCAGAGTCTGGTGACTTTTTAAAATATGTGTGAGTTGCCTGATTCTTGTTGTTCATTAACTACTTTAGAATGACACATGGGATGCAGTGGTGAGCTTAGTGTTTTTGCAATATGTAGAAAACTTTTTACATATTTGTGATGGCACCAAAGCTGTCATGTAGATGTTTTGCGGTTGTATTTTTAGATCCAACGTTAATGAAATGTTTAACTGACAGCTGTTGAAATTTTGAACTTTTAAAGAGATTTAAAATTTTAATGAAATGGAATCTTAAAATATTGTTTTGCTGGCTCAATTAAAAACAATTTCAAATGCATTTAGTTGAAACTGACGTAATGATCGATTTCCTACCCATATAAACCCTAGTGCTAGAAATCTTATTTTAAAAACTCTTGTTTCAAATTATAAAACCTGTAACTAGGAGGTTTGTATTCATTTAGTTGTGTGCATATGAGCACAAGAGTCTAAACTCATTTTTATATAACCTACATTTAAAAGCAGTCCTAAAAATTCTAAATTCTAAATTTCCTCCACCACGCCTGACCAATTCTGAATTTCCTAAAAATTCTTAATTTTGTTTGTACATTATAATATGAAGAGGAGAGTTATTCTATATATTTCAAATGATGTATAGCGTGGGCAAATAGGGAGACCTCCTCTCTACAAAAAGTCAAAAAATTATCCTGGTTTGGTGGCAGGTGGCTGTGGTCCCAGCTACTTGGCGAGCCGAGGTGGAAGAATCACTTGAGCCCAGGAGGTTGAGGGTGCAGTGAGACGTGATCTCACCACTGCACTCCAGCCTTTGTGACAGACAGACCTTGTCTCAAAAAAAAAATTCATTAATTAATTAATTAAAATAAAATGATGTAAAAAAGTAATTTTAAATGAGAGTTGTTTTATTTGTTTGTGTCCATTTTTTATTTGTGCTTGATAAGAAACAATGAGATAGCAATCTAAGCTGTTGATAATTCCCAGAACATTCCTTTAGAATGTTTCAGACAAAATTATACATAATTGGTTACAAGGGGCCTTCTGATGGCTTTAAAATGCCTCCGTTTAGGTTCCTTCTATTTAAATTCCAATTCACTAGGGAATAAGTCATGTATACATTTGTAGAGTTCTTAATTTAGTGCCAAATTCCTTGTCAAGATTCAAAATTCATTTACTATTACTGATCATAATAATGAGTCATTCGATTTTATACATTAAGAAAATATTTTAAAGGTCTAATTTTATATTATTTAATACAATGCTTTGTTATTGATGTTACTCAGATTTTTGATCACAGAATCAAGAATGAGTGAATTTATAAAATGTCTTTCCTATATGAGTATGTCTAACAAGCATACCCATTAAAGAGTATTTCTTATAAAGCCAATATATCATGGCAGCATTTAGCATATTAAACCACAAAGAAATTATGAGTTAGCCTGAGAAGTGGCAGTACTGCTTATTTATATTCTGACAGATTTAATTATCTTTTAATAATTGTTCATGAGGTGATTTTATTTTTGATGATCTTTGTGTATAATGATAGAATATAGATGTTTTCTTCTTCAGCCTATGAAGGCTGCATTTTTAATAGCATCACAACATAATATTCATATTGGTTGTCTAGTTTTTAGTGTTCTAGGGTAAAATTATGATTTTAGGGCATAAAAAATAGGATCAGTTTTCCAAAGATAAACACAGGGGAAGATAAGACGTTTATTTCCTTTTAATGTCACCATCATCATCAAAATTTATTGCTTAATATTTATTTATTGACTTCCTCAACTATCTGGTCCGGAAACAGACTATTAATTATGGAACACATGCCCATAAAAACCTATATGAAATCTCATGTAACTGAAAAATTTTTTAGTAGATAGTGAGAATACCTACAGAAACATGCTAAATACTATCTATAGGTATTCCAGACTTTTAGTTACTCAGAGGCAAGAAATATGTGGTCCCTGCATTTATTAGTATATATATGTACTGCTTTCCCCATATACCCTAAATATTTGATTAAAGGCTGTGGACATGAACATTATAAACACAAAATATGACATGTGCTTTTGCTCAGATAGGCCTTTTATATGTGTTTTAGAAAATCAACAAATAAACAAAACTATTGCAGAATCCACTTAAAAAGCTGGTTTTGGAGAAGTCTAACCCCCATCTCAAGCATTACCTAAAGCAGGTTCTAAGGGGCCAGTGAGCAGCCTGAGCAAATGCACTTCGATTAGGTGAAAGGTTGCTGAGTTTGTCTCAAACCCTGTCAATATTGTCTGAGAGAGAGAGCTAGCAAAGAGCAACAGCCAAAAACAGTAAGTAAATTGAATTGCTACTTAAACAAGCATTATTGATATTATCCCTTTAAAAATCCATGAATTTATCTGCTGATGAGGACAGTCCTAAAATGCAACATAAGTAGAAGAGACGATCTGATATCTCCAGTAAGAAAACATTAAATCATAATAATAACAACTAACATGGAGCTTGGACATTTGACGTCAACTCTTTTAATTGACAGATAAAAAATACTTGACCCTAAAGCAGTTGAATCACTTCTTCATGGGTCACACAGCTAAAAAGTGGTAGATAAAGAAATGAAACTAAATTCTACCTTTCCTCCATTGTACCCAT
Organism: Homo sapiens; assembly: GCF_000001405.40. Classification (NCBI taxonomy): domain Eukaryota; kingdom Metazoa; phylum Chordata; class Mammalia; order Primates; family Hominidae; genus Homo; species Homo sapiens. The sequence continues at coordinate 83,679,724 of NC_000005.10, read as the reverse complement.
TGCCATATTTCCCCATCTATCCAGGATAGCTCCAATTTACATGTTACTGTTTTCCTAGTATAGTTGTAAGTAGTTATCCTGCTTACTCTGTGCCTGGTTCGATGATAAGTAATCCTATGACCACGTCAAATATCATATAATGTAATAAATATGAAATATAGGGAAAAGAGAAAAGAATAAATTATGTAAGAGCGGGTCAGAAAGATTTGGAGGTGATGAATGGATAAACAAAAGCAAGAAAGTAAAACAGAGAAAGGTTAGAAAGAGAATAGAAAAGTTAGGGGAAAAACAGGATAGAAATAGACTGATTTCAAAACATCGAGGAGAAAAAGGAATATAAATTTTTCGTAAATTTAAGAATGCAGGTTCTGAGACATGAGGATCCTAAGTTCAGCCTCCCATGTTTTATACGCATGGTACAAATTCATGATTGAGATTTCTGAGATCTTTAATTAGAAAAGAAGCCACAAGTAAATTGTAGAAACATCTACAGCTAAGTGATACTCCAAAAAGCAGTCATTTTAAATGATTTGCTCTAAATCTAAGCAGTTTGTATGTAAGTGGCTAAGGTATTCTTAGAGATTCCTTTAGCAGTAACTGCAGGCATTGGCAAGCCTAATAAATATTAAACTGAAATATATGTCCTTATATCACTCAAATATGTTGGTATATATTGCTCCCATAAAAAACTGGGAAGTCTATGGCTGACTTGCTCATTTCTGTTTCTGCCACTGGATCTTTTTCTCCACACCCTGCCAAATCTTTGCAAGAAAAACTTGATATTAAACTCCATAACAAATATTGTTCTTAGAGAAGCCATGTTAAGAAATTCTTGGATCTGAGAACTATAGTTCAGTATCCATTTTGTGGTGACATTTTATTTCTTTAAACTTAGAAGCAGTATGCCAAATATTCACCATTTATTATTCATTTGCTACTTTTTTACTGCCCTTCCTCTTATTTTTGAGTGGCCTTTTCTTCCTCTTTATTTCACCTCTCTTACAATCCCCTCATATCTTCTTCCTGTTTTCTAATGCATTTCTACCCACTTTCCACCCATCGATAATTGAGCCCATAAGGGCAGTCGTATTGGCTTCAGAGAAGAGCAGTGGACCCAGAGTGATGCTTTGAGGGACCTGCACTGCCAGTCCTGCTGAAATCATCCAAAGTCCACAGCCAGTGTTAGATATTTCCTAGACCGTCAGTAAAATGACAACTATCGTAACCTTACAGAAAATAAACCACGGCAAATCATCTTTTATAATGACAAAATATATTGTTTAAATTGTTAACCATTTGTGGATGAGAATCTTTCTGATTATATATTTTTCGCCTTAATTCTTATAAATGTAGCAACAATATAAAGAGTTTGTAAAATAAAAGGAAAATACCCATCTGCCTATTATTTTTAGAAAATAACTAATATGTTATATGCATTCATTTCCAGTGTTTTAAAGTAACATTTTTAATTAAAACACACACACACACACACACACACACACACCCAAACTATAGATAAAAAGGAAAATGAGGAAAAGTAGAGAGGAAAAATGAACATAAGCATGGTGTTATTTCCAAGAATTGGGAAGTCTCAGAAGCTCAAACCCACACCCAGAAGAAGAACGCCCAGTAATCTTAAAAACTTAGCCCAGTGGGTCTCAAATTTGAGCATGCATCAGGATCACTGAGGGGGAAGGAGACTGCTAAATACTGATGGCTGGGCCCCATCCCCCAGAGTTTCTGATTCAGTGTATCAGGGGCCCAAGAATTTCCATTCTCTAACAGTTTCCAAGTGCTGCTGCTGCTGGGAAGTGACTCCTGAACTCATTCCAAATAGCAGTTTTATGGGAGGATTTATCTGTCTCTGAGATGGAGATGTCCTTGATTCACTATTTTTCTTACATTTATCCATAACGATCAATCAAGTTTGAGGCAGTCCTTCCCAATTTAATAACAATACCTTAGTGTTTGTGATTTGTATACTTGTTCAAGAATACTTTCAAACCAGGGAGACATTGTCATTATTTCTATTTTGTAGGTGAAGAAATTGAGACCTGTTGTACTGGTTGTGAGACCTGGAATAGAGCTCACTTTTCTTCCTTCTGGTCTATGATTTTTCTCAGTTTGTCAGGTTGCCAAAGGATCAGACCCAGGCTAAGGGAACAATAGGCTGCCCATGTCCAGACTGAAAGCTCACCACAATGAAAAGGTCTTGGCTGGACATCCAGTCCATGGCATCAGAAAAGCTTTTTAGCTGACTTGGTAGCTTGAACTTTCACAGAACTATGCAATATGACAAGGAAAATTCCAGCTTGCATGAAGCATTAAAGGAGGTGCAAGACTGGCTAAGAGAGAGCCGACAGCACTCGTCAGGGGACCCACGACAATGGTAATGGTAGTTGGGAATGCGTCTCTGGGGTAACACTGCCCAGACTACCAGCTCCTTGTTGTACATGCTGGGTACCTCACCACCCTAAGACTCCACTTCTAGAGCTGTAAAATGTGTCTAACAACATACTTACCTCAATTGAGTTGTTCTGAGAAATGGCAGTTCAGGAAATATGTAGTGTTAGCTCTCAAGGCACATGAAGTAGCACACATGCCTTTCACTTGGTTTGATCTCCCCATTACCTAATATGATAATGATAATGTAGTAGACACTTAAGAAATAGCAGTTGACCATCTTGGTATTAGACTGTTGATATTAGTATATCTGCATTTCTATCAAACTATTACTCTTTCACATTGGATAAGGTATATTGCTTCCAAATCATGCTTCAATTATCAACAAAGCAGGACTGTAAAATTACATTCCTATTATCTGTCTTTGACTATGAACATAGACATTTCAGTTTGGATTCATCTTGAAGCTGGCTGATCGAGCATTAAGATTTGTAAGGCTGTGAAAAGAGACCTTCAATGTGTGAATTGCAGGTGAACTGAGAGCACTAATTCAGGAGTTGATAATAGCTGGTTGTGGAAAAGTCTCCCCGATTGTCTAAATTTTAGCTCATATCAAAAACTGCAAATTTTTACCTAACATACCTAGACATTAAGAGGAGGCATGATTACAAAATGCAAACAAGCAGGACTCAGATTTATTTACTCACATGACCACCTACTATGTCTGAGGTGTCCTTTTCTACTGGGACCAGCACTTAGACCCGTGGCACAGCCCTTGACCTCAATGACCTCAGTCTGGTGTGCAGCACCTTGTTTTATATAGCTTATTGCTCAGACACCTGAAGACTGTGACCCTAAAGTATACTTTTCTAGTTTCATGTCTACTGGTGAGATGGTTGTTGTGCTTACCAGAGTAACAAAGATAATTTCCATTCTCACCTCCCTGGATTGTATTGAATCCAGCACAGGGTACTCTAAAGTATTCACTGATAGAGGCCTCTAATCACAAGTTACTGCAGATGTCCAATATACTTGAATTTTTCAAAGATGGTATGTATCTATCTTTCTGTGTGTGCGTATCTCTGTGTATGTGTGCGTATCTCTGTGTATGTGTGCGTATCTCTGTATATGTGTGCGTATCTCTGTGTATGTGTGCATATCTCTGTGTATGTGTGCACACATGTGAACCACCAAGACTTTGTTCATGGTACCAGAGTGATATAATTAATGAGGCAGGGCAAATCATGTTAAGAAAAATACCACCTGACTGCCTTCTCAATATGTAAGTCTTGGGAAAAATGTTTATATTCATATATAACACAAGTCAAAGTCTTAAGATCATAGTTGTAAGTTAAAGAGCTTGAATTTAAAAAGGCAACAAAAGACATAACAAATTAAATTTGCTTGAAGGCAAATACAGACTTTGCCACTTACTAGATGTGTACCTTCCAGCAAGATTACTGTCTGTATCCCAAGAAATGGAAATATTTGTCTCACATTATTGTTCTAAGGAATCCATGAGCCATTGCAGACAAAATGCTGCTTATAGTGCTGGCGAACAGTAGACATTCCATGAAAGGTGTTTTTATCATTGTTTATTCCCCATACTCCCTCACAAGCACTCAAGACGTTTACAATTTTAAATTAGGTTGTTGGATAGTCAGTACTTTAACACATTGGAATGAACCCTTAGTAGTATAATTTTAAATACTATGGTATGGAACTAAAGGAGATACATAGATAGATGTGTCATATATTTTTAAGACGAATGAAATTCAAGATGGTTGCAGTGGTAGGATAAACAACTCTAACCTAGTGTGTGTATCATATACAGCTCCCTATAAATTACACTATACATGACCACACTAACGTGAACATTAATTTAGCAAACTCTCCACCTTTGCTCATCTTGACTCCTCATCTAGAATGTCTCCTGTGTTTGATTGTTAAATTATACACCTTCTTTATACTCTCTCCTCCACAGCGCCCCTTCTCTGATTCCTGTAAACAAGCAGAGAGCACATCACAACTCTGGTACTGTTTGTCTGTTGTTTCATATTTGTGTTTACAGTTATCTCAATTATATTCCAAATTCCAAAAGGCCACCTTTATATTTGTTCACCCAAAGCACAATCCTGGGCTGAAAATAGGTAATATTTTAAACTGTAATTTTGTGGACAAAAGTTAGTGACTACAAACAACCAACAACAACAACAAAAATAAGCATTTCAAAAAAGTTCTTAGAGGAACAAGGAAGTGAACTTCTGAAAATAAGACTAGTAAATCAGGTAGAATTTTGAAGCTAACATTCTTGGTTTCCTTGACAAATAAATTTCACAATTTGTTTGCTTATCTACCATCTTCTTTATGTGATATAATGAAGAAAAAGAAAAGATTTAAAGCAAACGTGAAAGACTAAAGCCATCAGCATCACAGTAGTGCAAATCTTCACAGGGGAAAATACAGAGACATGTTTCAGTCTCAGAAGAGACTTGGGGACCTTCTGTGAATAAGTGAATTAGGTTCTGGAGTAGAGGCTCTCCTACAAGGACCTCCAGGAACAGACTCAGAGCTCTTTAATAAGTATCCCAGGGAGTCAGGCTTTCTTGGAAAAAACAAATTAGTGTGAGAAGCCAGTACTGTGCAATTTCAGTTTTAAAAATAGCCGGTATTGTCAAGGCTGCTGTGTGCATGAGAGAAATAGAAGGTCCTTGTTAATTTTCGTGTCAGCTTCCACATTAAAACCAAGAAGCTCCACTGAAATCCTTGCCTGGCAAATACTGCAAAGGTTATAAGGTTCGTATCACTTAGAATCACTTTTGGTTCTTCCAATGACAAACTTTTGGGAGGGAAGAGGTTATGTCCCCTTTTATCACATTGGTCTTTCAATAAAGGACAGGCAAGTGATGGCTCTGCCTTTTTCACTTAGGACCAGATCTGTGCCTCCCTGTCTGTTTCAGCTTTTCATTTGCCTAATTGCCCTGGGAGGCTGGCAGGGACGTTCCCTGCAGCCGTGGATCCGCTGACTGCAGAGACCCTACCTGGCACTCTAAGTTGGTGCGTCAGCATTTTAGGTTGAAATGAATGAAAAATCAATCAGGATGACTGCAGTGGTAGCGTGCACAACTCTAACCTAGTTTGTTCATAATTTTCAACTATTCACCGTAGACCCAAGCAGTATGTAAGATGGTAAGTGAATCTGTAACAAATGTGCTGCTTCTGCTTAATCGGGCACTTTTTTTTGGTCCTCTTTTCTATTTGGAACAAGCAAGTCTAACCTTCTTAGGAAGCCACATGTAAAATGAATGACGATGTCAAGTTTCATGCAAATATTATTTGCCCTGGCTTTAGATTCACTTTCTAATTAGACCAAGTGATACTCATATACAGACATAACACATTGCTGTTTTATTAACTTATGTTGCAAATTCAGAGGCTTACATTTTTTTAAGAGTGTGTATGTTTTTGCCACATCTCTTTGTTACTTGCTGTAATTCTCTATCCAAACTACAGTGTTTTAAATTTCTAGATTTACAATTCTGCAAAGATAGAGTTAAACACTATTTGGACTCTGGCTACATGATGGTAGCAGGAATTGTTCAAAGCTGCCGTCTTCGGCTCTTAAAGGCAGCTACAGTAACTTTCTGAACAGATTGGGTTAAATATTTTTACAGACCCATTCTATGATGATAAGGCGGTAATAAGTTGTGCAGTGCAACACTCCAAAGGGTTCCAAATCTCACAAGCCTCTTTGTATGTGATGCTCTCGCAGTGAAGAAGATTCTTTGGGCTATAAAGATGAAGAGTCTACTTCTTCTGGTGCTGATTTCAATCTGCTGGGCTGATCATCTTTCAGACAACTATACTCTGGATCATGACAGAGCTATTCACATCCAAGGTAAGGAAACACAGCTTCTCTTATCAAAGCCTAATTAATTTTAAGTTACTTAGAGTTGAGATGCTGGGCTAGTGTTTCTTAATTTTAGTTCTGCTGCATTGACTTTTTCTTTCCCTTTCTGCTAATTGGTGAACGTGTTCCCTGGCTTTTAAACACTATTGCATTACAGTAGAGTTAAGAATTGGGGACAATTAAAGTTGAGTAGCTTAAGAATGTCCAGCTGCAGTGAGTTGGTATAATCGTTCAAGGCTGTTAAGTGCAGTTGCTATCTTCAAGTAAAATGGAGGCCATAAAGTTCATTTAAATGCAAGTCAGAGAGAGAAAATAGGAAGTAAAACTTAGGATATAAGGTCATTCTGTTAGAGTAACTGTTTAATCATTAAGAGAAACAATATAAATAAAATGAAAATTAGACAAGCTATTGTCCAGGAAAAAGTAGTTTACCCTATTATAATCTGCTTCAGTTAAGCTTTAGCTCCTATAGACCAATACATTGCCCCTGCACATTTCTGTTCAGCTCAGCTGATTCCTAAGCCTGAGAGCTGTAGCAGGATTTGAGGCTGCAGTACAATGCAGCTATTTCCTCAGTCCCAGCTTCAGATGAGGGACATCCTGCATTAAGAAAGCTGAGACTTATGCAATAAGAGGAACAGTTCTTTCCTTGCCCTTGGATGCTGAATAATTAAAAAAGGAATTATAGAACTTAACAGTTTAAGCAGATGATGATAATTTTAGATAAACTCCATTGGGGTACCAGAGGCATGATAAGTTTGCTAAGAGACATAAAACTCTAAGTTACATCTTCAAGGTCAAAAGCGTAGCCTCAGTAAACTGCATTCACTGTGAAAAGTATGACTTGTGAAGGTCAAATGATAGTGTAAATCTGTCTAGAAGTATTTTCCTGTACGTATTATGACTACCAAAATAGAATTCTGAATTTGTCTATGTCTAGCTATTTTAGACACATCTCTTTTAGTTTTGTTTGCTTCCAACAGCTTTATTTTTTTCTCTGTTGAACTGAGAAAAGAAATTGTAATCATACATTTTACTCTGCAAGCTGCTGACTCAGCTGTTTCTGTAATATATAGTAGAATCAGAGCTGTTTCCCAAAGACCATATGATATTTACACATAGAGATTTCTAATGAGGAATAATACCCTTTTACCTTCTAGTGACAGAATTCTAGTGACAGAATTCAATTCAGCCAAAATAGTAATACCTAGTCGTTATTAATAATACCAGTTTTATACCCAATGCAATAGAAACTTAAGCCATGGTTTCAAGTTATTAGATGACAGATACCAAAGTTGTATTATGAATTGTGTACAAACCATTTAATGAAAATTGCACTCAGAGTATGAGAATAGTGTTTTAAAAATGTACTAACATTTGAAAAATTACTCCTATAAGTCAGACTCAAGTTATCTCAGGAAGGAAAACTTCTGTTACTCCAGCCTTTCCATTCCCATCTCCTCTGTTGAAACTTAGTGCAAGGGGATTTCTGACCCAGAGTATCAGGATTATCCAGATTATTTGCATACACTGTCCACATTTTTAAAAAGGCTTGATAGTCCACTTCATTTTAATTGTAAATTCATATTCTTAGAAAGTGCAGGCTTGCCTCGAAGAGTTGCTAAAGAGCTTTCAAGTAATAGAACTATATTTGGCTTGTGGAAATTTAATGCTGAAATGTGATTTGGGTCATAGGATTATGATGTTATGCCCGTAAATGAAATACCTGTTCTCATTACTTTTTTCCCAACAATTTTTTTGTGATAGCATTCAGATTGAATTTTCAAATCCCATAGTTCTTCAGAGAAACTGCTTCCAAGTGACCTTCCATAATTCCAGCTGTTTTTTATAATGCAAAAATAAATCAGGTAGCACAAGAATCAACAAAGCAGATTACTTACTTGCTTCGTTACTTACTTGAAATACTGCATATTTTCTTATATTTAAAACTTTTATTTATCAAACATAGCCCAGAAGGAATTTTAGGGAGCTGAAATCCTCACAAATTTTTTGAAGAATTTAGTCAGATGATTAAATTAGCTATCTCAATCTCAGATTCTTGAATGGTACTGATAAGCAGTATGAGCTTCTGTTAGTGATGGAAAATAGTTGAAAATTCACGTTGCTGTAAAAATATCATTACTCTCTCCTATTTTTGATTAGATTTCTATTTTTGTACTCCAAGTTCCCAAGGTCTGAACAACATTGGGAAAATTGTGCAAATCAGCCTCAACTTTTTGTTGGCTGCCTTGATGCAGAAGCTCAACATTTTAATGATACATTTTTGAGTTCCATGTGTATGGGTTAGCTAATTGTTTTTCTGAAGCCTCCTCATAATTTTGTTGTGGGAGGTTTTATAGAGATATAGACACACACAAAAAAGTTTAATCTGGATATTAAAAAAGAAAGAAAGAAAGAAAGCCAGGCATGGTGGCTCATACCTGTAATCCCAGCACTTTGGGAGGCCGAGGCGGGTGGATCACGAGGTCAGGGGTTTGAGACCAGCCTGACCAACATGGTGAAACCCCGTCTCTACTAAAAATACAAAAATTAGCCGGGCGTGGTGGCAGGTGCCTGTAATCCCAGCTACTCAGGAGGCTGAGGCAGGAGAATTGCCTGAACCCGGGAAGCAGAGGTTGCAGTGAGCCGAGATGGTGCCACTGCACTCCAGCCTGGGCAACAGAGCGAGACTCCATCACACACACACACACACACACACACAAAACAAAGGTAAAAAGGCAGATGGCCAGGAAAGAAAATAGCAAGTGTAGACCCCTATGCAAGGTATTTCTAGTGAAAAACATTTCTCTGGTAATGAGAAAGAAATCTCTCCCAGCTTCCCATGGAAAAAGACTTAGCTTTAGATAAAAATTTCACACACACTAATCCATTTCCTTTAATTTTTCATTGAAATAATTTGATCATACAGGAAAGCAAACTTCATTTGTCCACAAAGTCTACTAAAAATATGCAATCAAGATATTAGCTTGTATATAACATACTGTCCTCAATGTAGGCAATAGTTATGTTCTCAAATACCTCTACAGGAAGAGGGGCCACTGTTAATATCCTCTCTATACACTAAACTAATGGATTTTGTTCCTCATGTCACAATGTGGCTACTTTACTTTACTTTTAAATCCTTTGAAACTTGAGACCATTAGGAAGAGTTTTACATGGAGTATCAAATCACACAGAAAGAATAATATTTATAATATTTGTATCAGGTCCAAAAACTTTTGTGTAGCCTTTCAACTACCATAGAATTTTAGAGATGATGAATACACTCTTCAAAATACAACTTTTTAGAAGACATTTACAGATAACAGAGAAATTTTATGACCATTTGCCTATTAACCAATATGCAAAGCAAAATAGATGAACATGTAACTACTTGACCTTATCAAGGTCAGAGTCAGTGCTTCCTGCATTTGGTGTTCAAGCAGAGGTCTTCTGATGACAAGTTTCAGTCTTTCCTGTAATGCCACTAACTAGCTTAGACCTTGGAAAATTTACTTAATCTCTCCAAATCCCAGTTACCCCTCTGTAAAATCAGACCTAATGCCTGCTTATTCAATAGAGCTTTGTGAGAATTAAATGAGATAATATGTGGAAAGTGCTTAGTACAGTGCCTGGTTCCCAAGAGCCAATACTTATCCAGGTGGTTGTTATCATTATGTTTATTGCTTCCTCCCTGTTATGGAAAATTGATTTTTAAATAGAAAACAGACTACAAATACTGGTCAAAAAAATTCATGCTTTTCAAAGTACATTTGTTAACAGAACATATCATCACCTTAATTCTAATAAAGTAAACATTTTATAAGTTCTTTTCTTTGCCTTCTTTAATTTCACAATTTAAAATGTCCCCATTCATATTATTACTTTAATTTTTATTTATTTATTTATTTTTGAGACGGAGTCTTGCTCTCTCGCCCAGGCTGGAGTACAATGGCTCAATCTTGGCTCACTGCAACCTCTGCCTCCCAGGTTCAAGAGATTCTCCTACCTCAGCCTCCTAAGTAGCTGGGATTACAGGTGCCTGCCACAGTGCCCTGCTACTCTTTGTATTTTTAGTAGCAGCGGGGTTTTGCAATGTTGGCCAGGCTGGTAATTCCTGACCTCAGGTGATCAGCCCACATCAGCCTCCCAAAGTGTTAGAATTACAGGTGTGAGCCACCACGCCCAGCCTCCCCAGTCACATTAAATATTATCTGACCATTTTTACTTTCCTGGTAGAAACTAAAGTTCTCCAAACATAAGTAATATTTTCCCTTAATGTATTTACTATGTGAGCACAGATCCGCTACTTTAAATTTTTGTAAGGCAGAACAAGAGGAACTCCCAGAAATGAAAACTGTGTCCTTCTATTTAATAAGTAAAAGTAATTGTCACTTTTGTCAACAAATAAAACAAGTAGATTTACTTAATAAGGAATTGCCAGAAGTTTATGTCTGTAAGTAGAAAAAAATAAAGTCTATCCAGAACCGCTGGCAGAAGTGCACACTCCTCTCTCAGCTTCACTATTCCTCCTCCTGCTGCGTGTCCTGAACCTGCCTCCCCTTCTTCAAATCTGGTTCAGTCCTCACACGGACTTCCTGCTAACATGCCTCCCTCCCTCATCAGATTGTCTCTCAGCTTTGTAACTAACTCCAACTATAGAGCAGTGCCAGGCACATAGTAGGTGCTCAATGTATGTTTGTTGAATAAGTGAGTGAACAAATGAATGATGAAGGTAATGAGATACTTCTAAATTGTCACTACCATAATGAGCATTTGTTAAATGCTGTGACATCGCTGGCATTTAGCAGCATGTGACACATTGTGTGCACTTAATGAACATTAGCTAGATGACTGCTTTCACTCCGTAATGTTGGCATCAGCTAAATCATAGTTCACACAATTTAAGAACTTAAAAGGACTTTGGTAGCGATTGTCTAGACCAATCTTCCAATTCGCGAATGAAGAAGTCAAGACTCAGAGCTTTGCATTGCTTGTCCCAGGCTACCTGGCTGATAAAAGTCCGTTTATCTAGTTAACCCCTTCCTTTACTTCAAATCTGAGCTTATTTCTCACCTTTTTAATGAAGTCACCCTGACTATTGCAATCTGTCCCCCTCTGGTATCCTAATCTCTCTCACCCTTCTTTTCTTTCTCTCTGTAGCACTGGCTGTATACTCTACTTATTTTTATGTAATTGTTTGTCATCTGTCTCTACCACAAGAATATTGAACAGCTTCATGAAGGCAGGAATCTTTGTGTGATGCATCCCAGTCACATAAACCCAACAACTGGCACATAGTAGGTGATCAATACATGTTTGCTAAATAAATCCAGGACCAAAATCCAGTTGTTTTTTCTAATCAAGTTTTGGTTCAGCCTTTCCAAATCCCAGGGAAATATTTTCAATTCATGGAATGAGAAGCAGCAGATGAACAAGAGAATTATGAATTTGGGTTGCAAATTTTGTTTGGTCTTGTGCATGGCTCCCACATAACATGCAGCATCTGATACTCCATGAGAGTCCGCCAAAGACAAGTTGCAGCAATCTTCCTCATGCATGTATGCATCTTTGAAGAGTATTGGATTTACATTTGGTCACTGAAATGCTATCCTGTTCCTTATGTAATAACTGCAGATTTGGGATTTGGTGGTACAGAATGTATCACAAGGAGTGGGTGAATCTAATAATGTATGATCACAAACCATCTATAGAGCCAAAGTTTAATGGGAGAACTGGATACATGTTACTCTGTCTTAATTTTCTCTCTCCCACCTAAAACTTATTTAAACTATCTGAGTCTGTTTGGAAAAGCTACATCAATTCATTTTCGTCTTTTTGAGGCAGAATATCTTATTTGCAGCCACCAAAGCAAAATCTACAAATACCAGGAAAAATATCTACAAATATTTTATAAATCACAGGTGGAAATATACTTATATATATATAGTTAATAATTCTGTCTAAAAACTAATAGCTATAAAACATCAGAGAATTCCATCGTGGAATTATAAAAATTAGCACATCATCCATATTAGATGACTAAATCTTAAATTTCTTATCAATTTACAAGAGGGCATGAAACCAAAAATGAAAATAAGAACACACAGCATTAAACATAGGCTTGCCATTTGATCAAACTTGGAATATCACCATATTAATATAATAAATGAGCTCAAAAGTAAAGAACAAAAGTATATATGTAGGAGTATACATACATATGTAAAAATGCTCATATATTGCACCCATGCATATACACCTATAGACAACTTATTTATTCAACAAATGTGTTAGGTGCTTATGTAGTGGCATTAGGGATATGATGACAAAACATACAGTCTCTGCATTCAACAATTTATAGTCTAGTGAGAGAGACAGTCATTACTAAGAATAAAGAGCTATTAATCATGGTAACAGAAATATATATTTTCTTACCAACTTTGCTTCTGTCAGTAGGCATAATTGCTAGCCCATGTCCTTGTCTTCTTTGTATTTGTGTGTCCTTTTGAGAAAACAGAATTCAGCCATTTGCTGAACATTGGCCACCTCCATGCAAAACACTGGGTTATTCTCTGTGGAAATATAAACCATCTCCTCAGTGTGTTTACTGACAATATTATCAAGGCAACAAGCAAGCAAGAAAAAATAAAATAAGTGTTAAATAAAGGTGGAAATGTAGAGAAAAGAGTAAGTAGTTACCAAACTAAAAGAGCTTATTATTTAGAACTTTGAACTATATCCATTAAATTTTTAATCACTTAATAGAGCTGAACTCATAAAATACATCTTAAGAATATTTCTAAACTTGATATTGAAAAATCTAGAATGCTGAATTCTATGCTATTCTGTGAACTATTAAAACAATACAGTTCTATAATATTTCCAGGTATAAAAGCTTATATTGAATAATCTTTGCAGGTAGTAACAAATCCATACTAAACAGACATTGTTTTCTCTGTTTTATCCTTTGTGCTGAAATCAGCATAGTATGTGTGAAGCCAATGATTGTTTGGAAACTCTCCCAAATACCAAGAAAATCCTATTAAATAGTGACGCCTTTCTTTTTGGTTGCAGCTCTACAAGAACCTTGACTCAGCTAAAGCACTATAGCTTAATGGCTTAGTATTACAGTGATTTCAACATGTTGATTCTCTGATTTTACCAAATATCAAGAAATAATAGCTTTAGATTTCTTTATTGATTATGTTCTTTAAGTGGAAAGTGGAAAATTACCATTTTGGAAGAGTCTTTTGGAATACAAACACCAAAATGCTAAGAAATTAAAATATTCAATCAAGAGGTTATCAAACTAATAGTATCTAGGGAGAAAATGAAATCGTTTTTAAAGCAATATTCTTATTTCAAAATGAAAACATTAAAAACATAGGAAATTATTTGAAATAAAATTACTTCAAAAATATTTTGTGTATTTTGTGTTGCCACAATACACTAGCCCTAGACTTGTCTGCCTTCAAGAATGATTATCAAGTAGTCAGTACAAATAGTATCATTTTAATCTTGGTTTAATTCAACATGTTGGTTACTTGACTTCACTGTTAGTCAGTGACTAGTCACCATGTCTAAGGTGTGTGGAGTAATATTTACATGCTCAGGGATTGTGCTGTGGAGTATACTGAACAAAATAAGTTAAATAAGAATTCTCTCTACCTTTTCCAAACACTGTTGACTCAAAAGAAAAACAGACATTTTGGATTTAGAAAACCCAGAAAGGCCATAATCCATCATGTATAAAATGAATGAAGTATGTTAGAACAAGAAGCATTTTACTACAGTCAAGTATGGAGATTAGGTAAAAAAGTAGGAACAAAGGAGAGTCCTATCTTATTTCTAAAGAGGGATTGAAAGTTTAAAATAAAAACGCCTTTGAAAACATACCCTTGAAGGGAGGAGATTTCCACTTCTAGCTGATTCTATTTGAAATGCTGCTTCCCTCCCTGCTTTAGCTTGTTCCTGGAAAGCATTGGAAATTATGTTGTCTTTTTGGCTCAGAGTTACTGAAGGGTAGAGAAAGAGCAGGTGAAAGGAAAGACATGTAAGTCAAAGATATGTATAATGTAGCCTTATACATTACAAGATATATGACACGAATATATTTTCTTTCTAGATGACTATATTTGTTCAGAATGATTTCACGATTATCTATGACTAATAATATTGCTGGCAAAAAATAATGAACACTTTTATACAAGGCTTTTTATTCTCTTTTTTTTTCTTTTTGGTTTCTTCAGCACAGAAAGGTAAATTACAAATTTTTAAATTTTCAAATTTTCTTCTCCAGTATTATATGGGTTATGAACAATTCTTACTTTCTCTTGAAAAATGTTGTCAATTATGCTGTCAGGTTTTAAATCTCCAAAAATCTGCATATGATTATTTTCATATCCTCATTTTGATTTGTCTTTTATCACAGTCATTAACAAAGGGTCTTAATTAAGAGCTTAAAGTACCAAAGTACTAAAAAGCTGATTAGATAGATAATGCTTCCTTTAAATGTTTCCGTATAAACAGAATACCTTATTCTAAAAGATGCATATGGTAACAGCATTTTATAGACCTCCCACAATATATTAAAATCAAAGTGTGTTCTAAAATAAAGCTTCCTGAACTTCGGCCTTTTTTCTTATAACTCATTATTTGGCTTATGTACATAATTGAATAAATAAATGAAAGCAAAATTACATATAAATAATAAATATAAAAGTTTTTTTTGGAAGACACAGTGGCTCACATCTATAATCCCAGCACTTTGGGAGGCCGAGGGGAGCAGATCATTTGAGGTCAGGAGTTTAAGACCAGCCTGGCCAACATGGTGAAACCCTGTCTCTACTAAAAATACAAAAATTAGCCAGACCTGGTGTCTCATGCCTGTAGTCCCAGCTGCTTGGAAGGCCGAAGCAGGAAAATCGCTTGAACCCGGGAGGAGGAGATTGCAGTGAGCTGATATTGTGCCACTGCACTCCAGCCTGGGTGATAGAGTGAGACTAGGGCTCAAAAAAAAACAAATGTTTTTAAGGGAAAAAAAGGTTGTGAGAGAGCACTGAGGGGGCAGTGGGCCCAATGGCGTTCGTTTGCCATTGAGGACGAGTTTGGGAGGTGCCCTCTAAGCAAGGACATCAAGCTGAGATCTGAATAATGAGTGGGAGACGGTCACATAAAAAACCAGAGGCAGAGCATTCCAGGGAGAAAAAGTAGAAAATGCAAATTCTCTGAGATTAGAATAGGCTTGATGCTTTCAAACCGAAAGAAGCCCAAGAGACTGCAGCCTGTCAGAGGGGAGGTTGTGCTTTCAGAGAGTAGGCAGGAGGCAGACCACAGTACTTTATAAGTGGTCCAGAGTTCAGAGTTCAGACTTTATTCCAAAATCATTTGAAAATGTTTAAAAGGTTTGTTTGAGCAAAGGGTGACATAATGTGATTTACATTTATAAAAGACCATGTGAATAATGGATTACGGTGGGCCAAGAGTAAAGGTGAGGCTACCTTTTAGGAGGATCTTGAAAGTTCAGGTGAGAAATCATGGTGGCAGGGACCAGGATGGTAGCAGTAAAAAGGGATGGAGATGAACCAATTTGAAAAAAAAAAAAAAAAAAAAGTGAAGGAAGAAATGGCAGCAATTACTGATAGATTGGATGTAGGAATTAAGGGAAACAGACACCTCAAGCTCAGCTGCTAGAGTCTGGCATGAACCGAAGGATGGATGATGGAGGCATAAACTAAATTGAGAAAGACTGGGAGAACAGATTTGGGCGAGGGAGGAGGGACTCAAGTTAGTTATTTGTCATTCAATATAGGACCAACAGGAAGATGGGTTTACTAGTTTCATGCTCAGGAAGAAGTATAATGCAAGAATGTTTTGGAATCATCAGCACATAAGTGGTATTTATAACTATGGGACCAGATGAGATCACCTGGGGAGGGGGAATATGCAGATAAAGGGAAGGAGATGGACCTAGTATGAGTTTTGAAGACCCTCAATACCGACAGGTGGGATAAAGGAAAATGCAGAGGGCACATATTCACTTCCCAGAGTCTGAACCTTGATCACTGATGTGTGGAATTACTTTTCTCATATGATTTTTTAAAATTTTAAATTAGTTGCAAGCATTTGGACATAAGAGATTTTTGCATTAAAAATGTATTTCTAGCCTCTGTTGAAAAATCCAAAGGCCTGCTATTTTTCAGCCTTCATCCTCTTAAGACAGCATCACTGGGAACCTGTATCTGCTGACTGTTTAGAACGGGGCCTGTGCTCCCCACAATAGGTACAGTCTTTTCCACTCTTTATCATCCTCATCATGTCCAGGTGCTCTCTTCACTCCCCTCAGCCTTGCCCACCTGGGCATTTGTGTTTGACTTGCCTTTTGTTTTGTTTCAGCACTAAACTTATTACCTGACCCATTGTAGGCTGTTGATTCATGTTTATTAGATAAAAAAATCAAAGTTCCTTTTTATCCTCTGTTGCCTCTAGGATTGACTCCTGTGATGGGATTATTTCGACGTCTTCTTTACTAAGTGAAGACATTAGCCTTATCAGTATATACAACCAACAGTGTCATTCTACAAATTACAAATTACTTAACCTCACACTTTACCACAAAGTGGAAGTGGTCTGAATGGAGACAAGTAGAGTTGAGCTCTATGCCTTTACCACATCAAGGCACATTTCCAACAATTAAGGAGTGGTAGATAATTACAGCCTAATGAAGAAGAATGACTCATGCTAATGTTTTCGTTTCCCCATATCCTTTGAAACAAACCTCTAATATAGTTAAACTCCTAGAGAGTATGTTTATATTAAGAATGTCACTCAACATATTAGTAAAATATTCTAATTTTATTTCATTTTCTTGTGTTCTTTAATCACTCTATAATTATGATAACCTGGTTTGTGTTTTCTAGGTCTAAAACATAAGCATTAAATGCTAGTTATTTATCCATAAATCTTTGATAACACAGAAAAATTTAAATTCTGAAAATTATTAACCAGAGCAGACAACTCTAAGTTGACAAAGATACTAAGATTATTTTTACTTCTATAACAAGTTACATCAGAATTAACAATGATAACAACAGTAATAAATTAATATTAACATTTAAAATCACTTACTATGTGTATTTCTCATAAAAAGTTCATTACCTGGGTCATCTCATTTAGCACTCACCATAAGATGATATAAAGATGGTTAACCAGCTGGGCATGGTGGTTCACGCCTGTAATCCCAGCACTTTGGGAGGCCGAGGGGGGCAGATCACCTGAGGCCAGGAGTACAAGACCAGCCTGGCCAACATGGCAAAACCCCATCTCTACTAAAAATAGAAAAATTAACCGGACACGGTGGCGGGTGCCTATAATCCCAGCTAAAAGATGGTTAACTTCCGAAATTGAGAAAGGTTACATAGCTTGTCCCAGGTCACATGGTTGTTAGGTGCTGAGGATGAGATTAAATTCAGGCAGATTGGCTCTTGTGCTCCAAACCCATACATGAACACACAGCAACATCAAAGCCTTTTCATGGCATCTTTTGCATGATGCAATAGGTAAAAATGGTCCCCATTTTATTCCATTCAATTTATATAACTACGTTTAAGAAGAAATAAAATCACTAAGAGAAATAAAGTTTGGTCTTGGGCTTTAGAGAAGCTTTTCTGGGCCGGGTGCCGTTGCTCACGCCTGTAATCCCAACACTTTGGGAGGCCGAGGCGGGCGGATCACGAGGTCAGGGATCGAGACCATCCCGGCTAACACGGTGAAACCCCGTCTCTACTAAAAATACAAAAAATTAGCCGGGCGGGGTGGCAGACGCCTGTAGTCCCAGCTACTTGGGAGGCTGAGGCAGGACAATGGCGTGAACCCGGGAGGCAGAGCTTGCAGTGAGCTGAGATCGCGCCACTGCACTCCGGCCTTCGCAACAGAGCAGGACTCCGTCTCAAAAAAAAAAAAAAAAAAAAAAAAAAAGAAGCTTTTCTCACAGACCACCATTGTGATTCTTAACAGGGGTAAGAGGAACAAGGAATGGATGGCAACTGCAAATATACACATTCCACATCCACCCCAAATACAAACTGTCTGAAACCCCCAAGGAAATAGAGGAAGGGGCAGACAGGAATTGAATACTATAGATACAGGTAGATATAAATGTAGATATAGATGGATAGATATAGGCACAGGTATAGATATAGATATAGATATAGATGACAAAGACATAGGCATAGGTGGAAAGATAGTGATGTTTGTTTAAAAAGGCTTCTAGAATAGTAGTCCTGAAATGCACTCCTGTCTTGCTAAGAACCACTAGATTAGGCGATCCTCAAGAGTTGATGAGATGTGAATTTCTCAGGAACCAACACTTTCTAGGAACTGCCTTCTGGAAGAGCACGGTAAAGAAGACAGTGTAGAAGATAGACGCTGTTTTGTACACCAGGCACATTTTAGACATGTAAATATTTGCTAGTAAGAGTCTACACCAGCTGGGCACTCACTATAGGCCAGGCACCAAGCTAAGTTTTCAATGTGAATTACTTCCTTTAACCCTCACAAGAACCCAGGGATGAAGATGACTTACTTCCATTTACTGATGAGGAAACTGAGGTACAGAAAGGTTAAGTGACACAATGTAAGAGATATAGTCCATATGCTTAACTAATACTCTATAACTGCTGAGAAAAGAAATGAAATAATGAATGTGGAAAGGCAGAAGCCACAAACAACTTTATCAACAGAACAGAGTTAAACTTCCTCCTCACACTTTACTTCTTCCTGCTAGAAAAAAAAGATTAAGAAAAGAGAATTAAGAGGAGACAGAATATTTATCAGGATATTATCAGAGTTTCTGGTGTACATCTCAGAACAGTGATTTTTAAACTATGTTCAGTTGACTTCCTAGAGCTCCTTGGGGCCTCGTGATGCCCATCTCAAGCAGAGAGGCTCACGTTTATAAGATTACATGGAAAAGGTTTGTCTTAGATATCCTTTGCGGGGGCAAGGAATTCCACTGTTCTTGAAAAACTTTTTTTAAACATTGCCATAGATAAACCTCCAGGCTCCAAAATAGTGATAGAATTTATCTTCATTTTTTTACTATGAAACATGGATCATAACATAGTACCCATTCATGATCAGCATCACTCAAAACAGTACTATATTTTGGTATTGAGCAGTTTCCCATCACATAATCCATTTAGCTCTAAGGAAAGAGAAAATGATGGATTTGGTCAATACCTACCAAATCATAGCTTCCTGGCATATCACATGTGATAATGCAGATCTCAACAGGAAGGCAAAACATGCCATTTGAGAAATTATAAAAACACAATTTAGCTGTAGATTGATAGCAAAGAGCAGAGCATGAAGACTACACAGTGGGTGCAGAGAAGGTAGCCCCTGGCAGGGTTGGGAAGTGGGCTGGATGGGAGGAGTACAATCTCGTAGCCTGTGAGACCAAAAGGCAGGTCACAGATGATGAAAAACAGCACCAATCACTTTATATCAAAGATCTCCACTTATCCTATTTTCAGCATTAGATTTTTTTCCTTTATGGTTCAAAACCAGACAACAATTACTATCTTCAGCAATAGTATCTTTAAAAAATAGGGAAATGTGATACCATGTATTTCGTGTTTTAAATACATGTTTAAAGATAACATTTTTAGTAACACAGCAATAGGTATACTGAGAAAATATAATCCTTCAATTATAATAATATAGTATAATTATGGCTACCAGCTTCTTGTGTAGAGAGACTCTAGATAAAAGGTTCTTGTCTATTTGTTAAATTCCCTCAACTTCTACATTTATTTTTATAAGATTTTTATTTAGTTTATGCATGGGTGGTACATTCACATGGTTTAAAATTTTTTAAATATGGAAGTGTACATGTGAAAATCTCCCAAGCCTTCCTCTACACACTTTTCCCCACAACTTCTCATAGTCTACCAAGGCTGTTAGTTTCTTGTGAATACTTTCAGATATACTTTATGTCAAACTACACTACACAAACTTTTGAATTCTCATAAATGGTAAGAAGCACACATACTCCTTTGTATCTTCAGGTCAAAGTTTAAACTTCCAGGTGAAAGCAAAGATGTGCCAGAGAAAAATTCCAGATTTTTTTTTTTTTTAAGATGAAGTCTCGCTCTGTCACCCAGGCTGGAGTGCAGTGGTGCAATCTTGGCTCACTGCAACCTCCGCCTCCCAGATTCAAGCGATTCTCCTGCCTCGGCCTCCCAAGTAGCTGGGATTACAGGTGTGCACCACCATGCCTGGCTAATTTTTGTATTTTTAGTAGAGACGGGGTTTCACCATGTTGGCCAGGCTGGTCTCAAACACCTGACCTCAGGTGATCCACCTACCTCTGCCTCCCAAAGTGCTGGGATTACAGGCATGAGCCACTGCACCCAGCTCCAGGTTTCAAATTCAAATAAAGTAGGTGAGGGCACAAGGCAAGAATGAGATCATTTTTCTACTACCTTTCTTACCGTCTTCCTTTCTAGAGACTCAAGATCCTCTGCATTCAATAATAGCTGGGGAAGCAAGCTAAAACTTGGTCTCTGATAAAAGTAATGAACTCTTTGAAAGAACAGTAAAGGCTGGACGCGAAGGGAGAGGGTTAGCATGGATGGGGGTGGGCACCTGGAAAGGTTTCTGATGCGATCTGATTAGACACATTAGAATCATGACCAAAAGATAGGTTCTTCTGACTCCAGGTGAGCAGTTTCAGGAGAAATTAGATTTCTTCCAGTCTTAAGGAAACAAAATAATGATAAAGTTAAAGGTTAATAAGTGAGGCACTCTTTATTTTCTAAATTTTGTGTCCTACTCAAATGTAATGTGTAAAGTACGAGAGACAAATGTTTAAATTACGTATTCTACTTAAATATGGTGTCTTTAATGTACATAACTGTTTTTATAAAGTGTTTTCATTTTAGAGAGGTAGTGTGGTGTGAAGCAAGCTCAGATATCCATGTTTACTGCCATAGCCAGGCCCAAGCTGTATGCAGCACTAGTATATTTCAGTCATAGACACTTATTGCATCAAGCACTATGTTGATGCTGGAGAAACAACATAAACAAGGCAGAGTGATTGTTTGCAATAGACCATGGTAAGCACAGTGATGGACACAAATCCATCCTGGCTGCTCATTCTCCTGCAGGCTTTGGCTACCCTAAGGAAAATAACAGCTTCCAAAGTGTTAGTATTAAACATCCAAATCTGCCAAAGTGTTAACAAATGTCACAAAATAAAGAACTGTTTTTAAAACCTTGTGCATTTTTTTTTCAAATAATTCATTATGGAGCTGACAATTGAGTCTATGTCTATCAGTTTGGAATGTCAGAAAGAAATTAACTTTCTGTTTGGGATGATGAAAAAGTTTTGGAAAGGGGTAGTGGTGATGGTTGCGCAACAAGGTGAAAGTAATTAATGGCACTGAATTAAACATGGTTAAAATAGCAATTTTTTAAATATATATTTTACCACAATGGACAAAATTAAATGATGGTGGTAGAGTATTTTCTTGGAGAGATTATTTTTAATGTTCTTATTTAGCCATCTTAAATACATTCCCCAGTTGGGTTTTTTTTTTTTTTAATTATTATTGATCTAGGAAATCCAAAAGTCTCGAGTCTAGTTCATCCATACACCAGTGGAAAAAGTAACCAACATCAAGCCTGGCTAGCTTGCACCATCCTCAATTCATTTTAAAAAGACAAACTTGTTTTTTAACATTGAAATTTTGATTTGTATCAGGGAGGTTCCCAAGGGCTTCACTTTCAAAATGAGTGGTGTAAGGACCATGAGAATGGAGGGATGAAAAAGTCTTTCTAATGGGAAAGGCTTTCTAGAGAGGAGCGAGGAAGCCCCTGACAACCGATCATCCCTGTCTTTCTCCAGGAGGGCTCCCAATTTCATGTAATGTCATTGTTTCCCATGATGATTCATAAAATGTATAACTACAAATGACCTAAGTTTAAGATATGACTTTGTATGGATTAAAAACAGAAACTTTGTGGCTCACGCCTATAATCCCAGCACTTTGGGAGGCTGAGGCAGGTGGATCACCTGAGGTCAGGAGTTCTAGACCAGCCTGGCTAACATGGTGAAACCCCATCTCTACTAAAAAATACAAAAAATTAGCAGGGTGTGGTGGCACGCACCTGTAAACCCAGCTACTCGGGAGGCTGAGGCAGGAGAATGGCTTGAACCCGGGAGGCAGTGGTTGCAGTGAGCCAAGTTGGTGCCATTGCACTCCAGCCTGGGCAACAAGAGTGAAACTCTGTCTTAAAAAAAAAAAAAAAGAAAACCAAAAACACACACAAACTTTGATCCATAGCACCCTTTCCTTTTTTCTATCACCTAGATTTCTGCGGGTATAAACCGCCAAATAAATTTTTATGCTTTTAATAGGACTAAGAACAATAGGCAGTGGTCCAATGTCATAGTTTTAAATTGTTTTTCTCCAGTTGTGCTTGTCCTATTGTTTAAAAGTCTTCATCTAAATTTCATAGCAAGTGTAAAGATCAGTTGTTTGCTCATGCCATTGCTTTTATTATTTGGTGAAACTAAATGATGTCCTCTGGATTTCACAGCAGAATTTGTAAGATAATAACGAGGCCCCAG
The DNA here is from genome assembly GCF_000001405.40 of Homo sapiens. Taxonomy (NCBI): domain Eukaryota; kingdom Metazoa; phylum Chordata; class Mammalia; order Primates; family Hominidae; genus Homo; species Homo sapiens. Next base: position 83,656,775 of record NC_000005.10, on the reverse strand, counting down.
CGGTTCAGTGAGTCCCCATTAGTGTTCTCACCAGGCCCTGCAGTTTCCCCTGGAGACAACTCTGAGCTTTGAAGGGCATCAGATCTTTCAAGTCATTGTCACTAATGGAAATGGGGAATTTATTTACTTGTAAATTGCACTTTAAAAAATTTCAGTCCCCCACTGGACATCTTCAATTTCCCCAATTTCAACATACAGCCTCATTTATGGACAAAATTAAGCTCTTCAACACTATGCAAGTGTTTATGTGCACCTTTTCACACTGAAAGGAAAAGGGGAAATGGACACTTGTATGCTACATAGTTTTATTTATTTTGCCATGTTGTTTTTTTTTTTTTTAAAGCAATACTCATTCTAATGATCAAGGTTTATTTTTATCTTTTGCATTTCAATTGCTATGCCACAGCCTGCTAATCAAACAGTTCTTTTTTTTTTTTTTTTTTTTTTTGAGACGTAGTCTTTCTGTGTTGCCCAGGCTGGGGTACAGCGACACAATCTCAGCTCACTGCCACCTCCACTTCCCAGGTTCAGGCAATTCTCCTGCTTCAGCCTCCCGAGTAGCTGGGACTATAGGCACACGCCACCATGCCTGTCTAATTTTTGTACTTTTAGTTGAGACGGGGTTTCACCATGTTGACCAGGCTGATCTCGAACTCCTGACCTCAAGTGATCTGCCCACCTCAGCCTCCCAAAGTGCTGGGATTATAGGCGTGAGCCACTGCACCCAGCCCCAATCAAACAGTTTTGATTTAAACATTAATTTCAAACTGATCCAGGAGTTTAAATCCAATTATCAGATTCAAGACTTTCTCTAGGCAAAAGTGTGCAAAGTTTGTAATCAACGCCTGTGGTTCCCTTTCCTCTGTCTTCACTCCTTTCATTTCCCTGTCTAATTCAGTGTGTTTCCTGGCTGGTCTCTGTGACGACAACCTGTGACATAGCACCTGATGAGAACTGCAAGCTCAAGATTCTCATGAGGTAGACTTAGCAGAGTCCAACAGCTAAGGCATGGGAGAGCCTGCAATAGACCACTTCTCCAAAATGCTCAGAGCTGTGTAATCTGAAGTGTAGATCTTCTAAAAGCAAACAAACAAACAAAAACATTATTCTCAAGGCCATGTTGGAGGTTTAGCCTAAGGAACCTTAATGGCCTTAGTCACTAAATATGTTACATACCTTTGCTAGGGTTCTTTGAATTTCAGCCAGAGACTTCTGGCATCTATTACTTCAACACACACACACACACACACACACACACCCCAAAGTGAATGAGAATGGTAGAATTTTATACATTTCGATAGGCTTGTTAAAAAACTATTTTGGGTGAGGGTCAGTGGATGTTTGGTGCCTGCTTAATTTTCAACATTATACCACACAAGTCATCCTCTATTCACAATGCTGGAGTAGAAATAAAACAAAAACAAAATCAGAAACCTACACTTCTAAAATACTGCAAGATGGTTTACAGTTAACCACAGAAAAAAATTAGAAGTCTGAGTCCCTTATACCAGAGTTTTGATCTTTGCCTTAACCCTTTAATTTATAAAACATTTAGACCTTGTGTTCATTCTGGAACAGTTTATGATTAAACTAAACCTCCCAAATTTCCAACTCTCCTATTTCCAAGTCTCACAGGTGGCATTTTATGTATTTACTTTTTACTCCACATGATTCAAAACTTTATAAATAAGTGAAATTATGGAAGACTAATATATGACAAAATTATGCTCTATATTGGGCAGTATCTTAGTTGGAAAATACTGTGTAAAATCTATGCAGTAGGAACAGTTTAGTAGTTAGTGTACACCTCGTATTGGTCAGCCATTGTCCTAAGTGCTTTATGTGTATTAGGTTAATTGTATATTGTAGGTAATAGTATCTGTAATTCACATATAAGGAAATTAGGGCTTAGAGGCTGCACAACTTGCCCAAGGCTACAGAGCTAGTAAATTGAGGAAGTGAGGTTAGACCAAGGTCTATGTCACATTAGAGCCCTTGTTCACAACTGCTATGATATCCTCTATGCCAGTGCATTTAGGCATTATTTTTGATTTTGAACTAAACAACTGAAAGAATAATGAAACTGAGACCTATTTTAGCTATGTGTCATATCTAAACTATGTTTCAGTATGGGAAGGCCCAGCTCCTGGAGTGTTCCCACACACCACCCTTGCCCCCCACAAGATACTGGTGAGGAAATGTTCCCTATGACCCTCAGGCATTACTGAGAAATCTTAGTCAACAGCACTTTTTCCTCCTCCTAGAAAGAAGGCACTAGAGATGTTTCAGTAGAAGTTGGATGCAGGCATTGTGGACATTGTAAGGAAAAACTTATATGTAGGGTAGAATTACATAGAGTTATGTTTTATATCTTGAGATTCTATGGTCCTAAATAATGAGATCAAGAATGGAATATAAAGGAAATGCTTAATGAGCTGGATTTGTGATTCCTCTTAACTAAGTAATAAATGAAGCCATTATCCTCGCATTTCATTATCTATTCAAAGTGAGGGGCATTGATGGCTTTGCTAAACTTTTCAGCTTTTTGAGGCTTGGGACTCACTTATAAATGAAATGATATGCTCATTAAAAATATTAATTCTGATTGCTATATGATAAAAATAGAGATGCTGTGTCTATTTTTTGGATACTTTCTATTTTAAAATCCAAATCCTATATTTGCCATTCAATAACTGTGTGTCTCAACATGGCTACTCTTCCCAGTGATTTGGACATCTTAAATGATTCATGGCAAAGGATTATTCAACACCTATCTGCCCAAGGCAGGAGGTCTGCAGAGTTGTGTGAAGGGCAGCTTTGGTAGCTATTAAAAGCTGTGTATAGACACAAAGATATCCGTATCCAGGAGCTCTTATGTCACTTTCTCATTTTCATATCTTGCACATCCTCAAGAGACACTGTCAAGGTCAAAAGCACAATGTGCTAGCCAGGGGGAAACCCCAGAGAAAGCCAAAATCTGAAAATAACAGCTGGTATGTAGAAAACGGCAGACCTGCTGACTTGGCAGGCTCAGGATATTGTGGTGCTCTTTGGAAGGCAATAGAGTCCTTGGAGGAAGGACTTGGAGGAAAACAAAAGGACAAGGAAAGGAAAGGTGGAAGTAATAAGATAACTGCAAAACAAGACATAGCAGAAAGCAAAGAGAGAGAATAGAAGGATATTTAAGGGAGTAAAGAAGCAAATAAGTATTTGGTTAATCAGAAAAGAAGTATAACTTTGGATACGTTTTTAACATCCAAATTTTGAGGAATACATTTCAAAATCTTCTGGAATTTGTCGAAAGCATTTATTAAAATTACCTTTGTCTAAACTTCCTGTGAAAACAAAATACATATTTCCTGAAATATTTCAGAAGAGCCTAACACAGGTGTATATTTGACTAGAAGCCATAAATGTGAGGATATTCTGAGTTCTTTGGCCAGAACTGTACAATGAAAGTGAATCATGTTGCTTCATATTTTGCCTGTAAGTACAATATAAACTTCTTGTATTAGAAAGCCCAGCTGGGTTTACCTTACCTTGAAATGTTTGGGTTTATATTGACGAACCCATCATGCAACTCTCTCACTTCTCTTGGTCTTGTTTCTATATTTTTGATATTTAAATGTAGAAGAAAAAATTGAAACAATAATAAATAGAATTTATTATGAAATCATTGACCTTCAGATGACTATGGAGTTTTATATCCAACATTTCTTACTGACGATAATGTAACTTCCTCCCCTTTGGTTTAAAAATGACTACTTTAGAGATACCTTCTAGTTATTAGAGGTCCCTTTCTATATGGTTCAAAAGAGATTACGTAGAGAAGCTAACCACTCAAAGCTATCCTTTGTCAGATATCCTATATATGTGATATATTTCATTTTATGAAAATGTCTGAAAGTATATTAATAGTTATTTTCTTTTTTTTTTCCTTTTTAATTATAGCAGAAAATGGCCCCCATCTACTTGTGGAAGCAGAGCAAGCCAAGGTGTTTTCACACAGAGGTGGCAATGTTACACTGCCATGTAAATTTTATCGAGACCCTACAGCATTTGGCTCAGGAATCCATAAAATCCGAATTAAGTGGACCAAGCTAACTTCGGATTACCTCAAGGAAGTGGATGTTTTTGTTTCCATGGGATACCACAAAAAAACCTATGGAGGCTACCAGGGTAGAGTGTTTCTGAAGGGAGGCAGTGATAGTGATGCTTCTCTGGTCATCACAGACCTCACTCTGGAAGATTATGGGAGATATAAGTGTGAGGTGATTGAAGGATTAGAAGATGATACTGTTGTGGTAGCACTGGACTTACAAGGTATGTATCTATAAGTCATGTTCAACGTATAAATGGTCATTAATAGTTGCTTTTTTTTTCATGAAGAGTAATGTCTAGTGGTTAACACAGTAATAAAGTGAAAAACCAAAGTCCTTGCCTGGCATCTTATTCTTTTGTATTCTACAGTCTGCCTATGATTCCAGCTTTCATGTTTGAAATGCATACACAATGCTTATGTGCAAAATTGAAGCTATTTGTAACTAGGAGAAACGTGCAGTGGAACTGAATTAACAGTTTTCAGATACTGCCTTATGTTATTCAAAATCATCTAAATTCCATTATATGGTTATTGAGAAATTCAGACTGTGTACTTTTTTTATTTTGTTTCTAAAATTATCTCAGTTTCAAAATAATGGCATGTTTTGTAAAGGACATCTGCTAACTAAAATATATGTAATTGTATTCTGTAAAATGACTGCAAAACCTTAATTCAACAAAAAAGTAATCTCTAGCTTTCTTTAAATATTCTTCTAAAGAAGTGATTTTGTAATGGTTCAGAGTCGCTTAGCCATACGGTCGAGGCATTTTGTGGGAGAATTCTATTTCTTAAATATGTAGGCCATTCAATAGGTTCAATAACCAACATGTGTACAAACCTGTACAATAAAAAGTGTCCTTGCCATCCTTGCCTCCCCTCTGCCCAATGTCCACCCTCTAGAGACCCTCCTCTCCTTAGTTTCTCATGGATCACAGGACACCTTATTTTTCGTAAATTTCAGCATTATTTTATACTGAAGGGTGGATTTTGGCAGCATTGAGAGAATGCTTTCCTTCCTTATCTACATAAAACTCTAAGTGTACGCTTGCTAGAAGCTCCTTTTACCCCTGAGGACAGATTTGTGTCACTATTTGACCTTTTGAATCCCATACAATCCTATCACATATATGGAGATTTATTTGCTTTATACATCTAATAAATTGCACAACATCGTAAAGTACATTTTTGTGACCTTTCGTTGTCTCTCATAGGTAGTTCTTGGCCCCTGAGTACATGCCACTTTTGCTTTAAGTTTTTATTGATTCATATTAATATCCATGAACATTGGCATTATTCAGGATGGAAGGAGTTGACTTAGAGAAGACAGTAGGTCATCAAATATTAATTGAAACTATTTATCAAAGGGGCATGGAAGGTTGGAGAGAGCCTTGAGCTAGTAGTATTAAGAGGCTTAGGTTCGCCTCAGCTCTGCCAGTATCAGTTTTGTAACTGGGGCAGATCACTTATCCTTAAACAAGTTTGAATTCTATTATCTGTTGTTACATTTTCTTCTAAAACCCTATGTTTATATAGCAAAATATTTCCTAAACTTAAGTAATTCACATGCAATATTTACTGTCTATGTTTATTTTACAAAATTAAACTCTAAATAAAAAGAAACCAGTATAACTTACCAGAAATACAAGGAAATAATAAAAATAAATACAATAAAATAAGGTCACTGTTTTAAAGGAGCTTCAACCTATGTTACAGTATAACGCATTATAGGGTCAAATCAAGGCTCCTCCAAGACACAATTAGAGATGCTGAAAGGGGACTAAGAAAATAATTTTTGGCGGATCACAAGGTCAGAAGATTGATACCATCCTGGCTAACATGGTGAAACCCCGTCTCTACTAAAAATACAAAAAATTAGCCGGGCATGGTGGCAGGCGCCTGTAGTCCCAGCTACTCGGGAAGCTGAGGCAGGAAAATGGCGTGAACCCAGGAGGCAGAGCTTGCAGTGAGCCGAGATCACACCACTGCACTCCAGCCTGGGCGACAGAGCAAGACTCCATCTCAAAAAAAAAAAAAAAAAAAAGAAAAGAATTTTTTTCTCCTAGGCTCTGCACCATTGCAAATCTCCAGACTCTCCATGCTTAGGGAACATTCCCTGCCATATAGAATATATGCATATGAGCTAAGTAAATGTGGTCCAAGAAACCAATTTAATTGATACATATTTTTACAGGTGCTGTTTTGGTGCCATGAGATGGAAAGAATTCCAATCTTTGCTCTTTCATTCAACAATCTTATAGTCCATTAAAGATTCTCAAATAATTTAATGAAATAAGGCAGAAGTCAGTAAAATAAGTAGGCACAAACAAATTTCTATAATCATATGTTCTATTTATTTTGTTCATGTTCAGTCAATCTTCTTTATAGATGAAGCTTAAGACAAACACCTTTTCTAAGATAACATGGCTAGCTCTAGTAAGAGCTAGAGCTGGAATTTGATACCAAAGGTATTGCATGAAGCCTATGCTCTACTCCACTGTGATTTAAGGGTTTGTAAGAAGGAGAAATTTTCTTTTGGTAGAGGAGAGGCTTTAAAAAAACAGGAGCATTCAGCTGCTTCAGGCTTTAGAAAATTCTGAAAGTCTCAAAGTTATTGGAGCGATAAGCTAGGACCTGTCCTGTGCTCGTGGTAGCTGTTAAATCTGCCTCCTCCATGATGTTCTCATAGCACCTTATGTAGACTTCCATTATAGCTCTGATCACATTTTGTTTTGTAAATATTTGTAAACTTCTTTGTCTGTTAAACATGATCTACTTGAGGACATTCAAGTGCCAAGAACAGAATTCATGCTCAGTAAATAGTTTACAAGTAAAAGAATGTTTGATACAAAGTGTTTAAACTTTCAAATACAAAAAAGGGTGCATGCAATGTGGGAGTCATGGAAACCATTCTTAAGAAAGAGACACGGCCGGGCATGGTGGTTCACGCCTGTAATCCCAGCACTTTGGGAAGCCAAGGCGGGTTGATCACTTGGAGTCAGGAGTTTGCGACCAGCCTGGTCAACATGGTGAAACCCCATCTCTACTAAAAATACAAAAATTAGCCTGGCATGGTGGTACGTGCCTGTAATCCCAGCTACTCTGGAGGCTGAGGCAGGAGAATCGCTTGAATCCAGGAGGCGGAGATTGCAGTGAGCCGAGATCGCGCCATTGCACTCCAGCCTGGGTGACAGAGCGAGACTCCGTCTCAAAAAAACAAACAAACAAACAAAAAAAAACCAGATACTTGATTTGGACCATGAATGTAAGCCTTTCAAAAGGTAATGAGCATGAAAAAGCAGGAGAGAGGGCATCATAGATAAGAGAGAGAAATTACTCAAAGCAAAAATGTGAACAACAGATACCACCGACAGCATTCCAGCTTGCCTGCATTAAGTCTCACGTTGGTGGCAGGGTGGGATAAGAATGTTTAACTTTTCATTGTCGCTAATTTCAAACATTTGGAAAAGTAAAAGGAATAGTGTAATGAATCCATATATCATCATCCAGCTTCAAAAAGTATCATGATATAGCCAATCTTATTTTATTTTGCTTTCTTACTCCCACTACCACTGAATAATTTTCAAGAAAAACTCAGATGGGATATTATTTTGTCTAAATATACTTCAGAGTAAGATGAGGATTGATATTTCAAAGTAAATTTACAACAAATTCAGATAGCCACAAGAATAAAATAAAAGCCATAAAAATAAAATTTGAGAAAACTTGACATAAGCTAAGGACACTCTCCATGTATTCTGGGATAGAAACTCAAGATGCAGCAGATTATATGCATAAGAGTTTGAAATCTGTGCTGAACCACACACGGCAAAAGACATACCTTCTGGTTATCACTTATTAGCTCTCGTTCTCATTTTTAACCTTTTTCATTATCAATGACATCCTTACATGTGACTATCTACCAATCAGGCAGTGGTACTCAAACTCCCTGTCAGTCTTCTAACATGCACCAAAGGGCCAGGGAAGCATCTCATTTTAAATGCCTTGACTGAGCTGCTTTTCCAACTGTAATTGCACATTATCTTTAATTGAGTTGGTCCTTTAATACCAGCTTAAATGCTATTTACACTAAAGAATTTTACTAATTAGAAAAAAAAATTCTTCATGTAGCCTAAATTATATAGCTCCTATTTGTATTACAAGCTTTTATTCTGCCTTGGATTCAAGCCATATATATATCCAAACTACATATATTTATTCTGTCTTGGATTCAAACCATATATATATATATATATATATATATATATATATATATATATAGTCAAATATAGGAAGAGGCCACATCCATACCTATATCCTAGAGTACCAAGCACAGTGCCTTGCTGTTAGTTGTTAAGAACTGTCCATATAACCATACTGACAAAAAAAAAAATTGTAAATCCTCAACAAAGACTGACCTCCATGTGAGTTGGAATTAGATATGGAAACACGGCATTTTCATACAGAATCTTGGAGAGGGCAGAGCCCTCTGACTGCCACCAATTACCTACCTAGAAATAGCAGGCAACAAGCAACAAGCTTTATACAGATGTAACAAAAGAGTGTCACTAGGAATTTAGGAAGAAGCTTGGACTACAGAATCAGCAATTCAATTGAGCACAGCAATCAATAAATACACAAATAATGATATGAAAAACATGACATTTATGCTTCCAAACTTCCATTGTATTTATCTTCCATTGGTGAAAATGGGGCTAAATATACAAAATTATAGTCTGAGAACTATCAGAAATAGAAACGCAATTTCAGATATGTGCATAGCACTGATAAGCACTATGACAGGCACTAAGGAAGGTAATATTATTTATGCTACATGGTCGCTGCCTTTTTATGACTAGAAATATTTACTTTATGTAATTATTAAAGCTTACTTTAACTTTTATGTGTCCCTTTTGATTATATTTTGACATATAAGTATGGAGGATAAATTAGTCAGATATTCCTTGGACAATCATACCACCTTCTTTCCCATCCATAAAAGTTTAACTTTTTTTTATTTTTGCAACATTGGATAAAAGCAACCATTTGCTCCAGAATTCAGCTGTAAGAATTGCACATTTTTTCTACAGAGCCAAGAAGGTTTCTGCAATTGGATGTTAAAATCTTAACTAGCCAGAAGTATAATAAGTAAACAAATAAAATACTAACAATAATGAAGTTCCAAAAATGGCCCTGCTTGTAAGATACATCTTACTGTTGAAATGTGTATGTGAAATTTGTAGAATACAAGGAAAGTTTTAAAACTTTGAGTAAAGCATAGAGCTTTACCTTGATTTACTTGGAATATGTTCTTTCCAGCACATCAAACAGTAATTCAAATTTGTTAAGTAAATCTTTTGAGCTGATACAACACTTAGTTGACAATTCTTACAATTGAAAAATACTAAAATATTAACATAAGTTTCACTTTGACCCTAAAAAATGATTGTATGAAATTATGTTGAATTTGAAAACAACTCAAAAATATATAGCACTGGATGTGGAACTAAATCGTATTTAAGTAATGTTCAGTGGTTAATCAAGGACAAATTACTAGAGAAAAACTTGTCCCGATGTTTATGAGAGTCCACCAAAATACACTACAGTGAATTTAAACCTGAAAGATTTTCCAGGTCTTTAAAATTAGTATAAATTAAAATATTCTGCATTCTCCAATGTTACCATCTTCAGCCATTTTGGAAATGGAAGTCAACCCCACTGGTTTCTTTCTCTCCTCAGGTTGAGATACTTTGAGATTTTCTGTCACTTAAGATCTAGCTAAAAGGAATCTCTACTGAATAAATCAAATATTTTCCTTTTCATCAGCACTCCCAGGGTTGCTGAGGAAAGAGGATAAAAGATATGAGGGACCAGGGCACCATAATAGTTATTTCCCAGCACTCACTGGGTTCCCAGCTCAGTGCCTGGGCAGAGCCCTCCTTAGATAGAACCATCTCCAGGCCTTCCCTCACCCCTCACCACAGGAGTTAGTGGCAACCAAGAGAGGCTTTTACTCCTTCCTTTTGGCTCTGATTCAGCTTATAGATCCTTCAGCCAAGAACCTGAGAAGGCAGAATGAGATCAGGAAGCCTTCTTGGGTCTCTGCCTTTCATGGATGGTGCCAGCTGGATTGCCCTACAGAGACAAACGTGTCCTACCGAGGCCTTCAGTGGATGTGACTTGATTTAAGGCCATTGAAATTTCTTCTTGTAGAGTCTTCTAGGACAATTTATTAAAGAAATATTTCTGTGTACTGGTTATGCTATTAGTGAGTTTGTACATCATCTTGAATAGCGTCTGCAGTCTCATAAAATAGCACATGTGCTATAACTCACCAAATTACTGTGTCAGTGGGACAAATGTTTGCATTCCAGATGCCAAAATACTAGTTATTTCTAATTATATTAAAAAATTCAAGGCAAGCCCTTGAATAATGATTCAAAATTACTTATCTTTTAATAACCATGGGAGAAATACTTTGACACATTAGTCCTTTTCAAAGTCCAGCAAGTGATGCAACTTTGCTTTCTTATGTGGTAATCCTTAGCCTTTAAAGAAAATGGGCAGAGTGTTGTGAGACAGCTTGGTCACCTCCCATAATTATTTGACCAAAAGAAATGTTTTGGAAAGCCATACACCTTCCTAGGCAAAATCAAATACGAAGTCACACTGTTTACATTTGCTAAGGAACTTTTGTCCTCAAAATATTTAACTTAATTATTTGGCATTAGTCAATCAATGGATGTCTATTCTGTACCTACCTTTTACAGGACAAGCTTAGGGAAGTTTTTTTTTCCTGTTTATAATAAAAATGTTTCAAACCCCTTACTTTCAGTTTGCAATATATACATGTGGAAGTTGAAAAATAGTAATGGAAATACTTTTAAATGAAAGCCCTTGTTTTAGTCCTGCTATTTAAGGGCAGGGAAAAAAAATAAGATTAAGGGCTACATTAAAAGTAAACATGCAAGAGTACCATGATGCTTTCTATGGAGGCGTGCCTCACTGTACAGATCTGTCTTATTAATCTGAAATAAAGTTGTTTAATTATTTTCTTGTTAAATATGCAAAGGAGTCCACTTTAGCAGGGGTATCCAATATTTTGGCTTTCCTCGGCCACATTGGAAGAAGAACTGTCTTGGGCCACACATAAAATATACTAACACTAATGATAGCTGATGAGCTAAAAAAAAAAAAAAAAGAAAGAAAAAGAAAAAAGAAAATCACAAAAAATCTCACAATGTTTTAAGAGAGTTTACAGATTTTTGTTGGGCTGCATTTAGAGCTGTTCTGGGCCACATGTGGCTCATGGGCCATGGGTTGGACAAGCTTGTTTTCACATTTCTCCAAATAAGAGTCCCCCCTAAGTGAAGGTTACTTATCTGCAAGTTATTAGAAGAACATGTAAAAAGTTATATATCTACATTTGAATAATTTGTTAATATGCTTGTTTATACATTTAAAAGACTACATAAAACTAATTACTAATTATATAGGAAAAACACTAAGAAAAACATTGTGAATTTTGATAAGTACCTCTCTTGGAGCACTACATCCCCTCCGCTCTTAGTATTCAACAATGACTATTTCTATATTTGCCACCAACTCTTAGTATTCAATATTGACTTTTTCCCTAGGTGACAGAGCTCAGTAGTAACCCATTATAGTGTTAGTAACTGGCAGCAAATGGTAAGTTCCTGGGGAGGGCTATTTGGAAACTGTAAACTGTAGACAGATCTCTTCAGAAAGGAGAATTTTAAGACTTGAGTTGAACTCTTAGCTAAAGCAGTAAATCACTGAAGTTATAAAATTAAAAAGCTGATCATGAGATGCTCAGAACTGAGAGGCTGCTTGAAGGGGAAAGGGATCATGAGAAACAGTTGCTAGTTGACGAAAAACTACTGTCTCATCTGATGGAGGGTCTGTTAGGTTTTTCACCAACTAGGTGGCATTTGCTCAGAGTTGTTAGTTTTGGGGCTTCTAACAACTCCTTGCTTTCTCCTTTGGACAGGTGTGGTATTCCCTTACTTTCCACGACTGGGGCGCTACAATCTCAATTTTCACGAGGCGCAGCAGGCGTGTCTGGACCAGGATGCTGTGATCGCCTCCTTCGACCAGCTGTACGACGCCTGGCGGGGCGGGCTGGACTGGTGCAATGCCGGCTGGCTCAGTGATGGCTCTGTGCAATATCCCATCACAAAGCCCAGAGAGCCCTGTGGGGGGCAGAACACAGTGCCCGGAGTCAGGAACTACGGATTTTGGGATAAAGATAAAAGCAGATATGATGTTTTCTGTTTTACATCCAATTTCAATGGTAAGATAATAACTGTACTGCCTTCTTTCCTATCTCACAGACTATTCCATACTATAACACTACACTTGGCTTTTAATCTTATCTTCTTAGAAAAACAAACAAAAACAAGCTTTGAAGTTTTGCTGTAGTTTAAAAAGATATAAAAAGTTCTTGAGTGTCATAATTTTTAAATATCCACACAAGTCAAGCAAAAGTACATATTCCCAGTACTCCTACGTTTTATTTCATCCCATTTTTATATGAAATAATTGAAACTGTTATGTGGCTTGAGGTCTGTTACCTATTGTCAAAGATGATGCTGCCAGTGTGTGCCCTCCGTAGGATATGGTTCTGTCAATCAAAGTAAGCGTGCCTTCATTATTACCCATGCTCTCCCTCTCTCAATCACAATCACATATACACTTATTCATAGGTGATCAACAGAGCTCAGGACAAAGTGGGGAGTAAGCAAGAAAAAGAAAATAGAACTAACTCTCAAGGTGAAAGCAGAAGGAAAGGTTGCAGCAGTGTTGATGACTGATTCATTTTATTCATACACCTCTCAGCCCTTCTCTTGCTGTCTTCAGAACCAGCCACATCATTTGTGCAGCCCGGTGTAAAATGAAAATGTGGGCTGGGTGCTGTGGCTCACGCCTATAATCCCAGCACTTTGGGAGGCCTAGGCAGGGGCACTGCTTGGGCCCAGGAGTTTGAGACCAGACATGGCATCATAGTGAGACCCCATCTCTAAAAGAAAAAATAAATAAATAAAAAGAAAAAAAAAGGAAAGAAAATGTGGAGCTCCTTGTTCAAAACTGTTAAAAATTTTAAGATGGTGACAGCGGAACATTAAACTAAATGCAGAGCCCTTCTCCGTGTGGGGCCCTGTGTGGTGGCACAGGTCACACACCCATGAAGCAAGCCCTGGCTCCATTATTTATATTTGAGGTCCCTGGTGACATGCTTTGGGAAAAATAGAAAGAGATTATGGGTCAGGGGTCAATAATCTTTTTTTTTTTTTTTTTTTTTTAAGACAGGGTATCACCCTGTCTGTCACCCAGGCTGGAGTACAGTAGCATGACCTGGGCTCACTGCAACCTCCACCTCCCTGGTTCCCAAATGACTCTCCCTCCTCAGCCTCCTGAGTAGCTGGGACCATGGTGCATGCCACCACGCCTACTTAATTTTTGTTTTTTGGTTTTGTGAGTTTTCTTCTTTTTAATGTAGACATGGGGTTTCACTATGTTGGCCAGGCTGGTCTCCAACTCCTGACCTCACATGATCAGCCTGCCTCAGCCTCCTAAAGTGCTGGGATTACAGACGTGAGCCGCTGTGCCTGGCCGACAATCTTTTTCTGTAAAGGGCCATATAGTAAATATTTTTGGCTTTGCTGGCCATATGGTGTCTGCTGCAAAGGCTCATTGTAAATGTGTATGTTGTAGCACAAAAACAGCCATCAAAATACTAAACCCAGAGGGAGATGGCAGCATTCCAATAAAACTTCATTTACAAAAACAGGTAGGAGGCCAATTTTGACCCATGAGCTATAGTTTGCTGAACTCTGGTGTAGATGATTGTACTTAACCTCTAGTTAATATTCCAGTGGCCACTACCCTTTCTCCAAATCACATCATCTCAGTCTAGAAAGAACTGGCAAGCATTAATTTATACTTCAGTAACCTATATCTAATGAGGGTCAGGGGAACATCATATTACATGTCTAATCAGGCAAGAGAGTCTGATTAGATTCGACCTAAAACTAAGATGTATAAGAAAATCTTCAGTCCATGTGTATTTATCACTTTCAGTCAGTTGAAGTCATATTTTATACATTTTACACATACTTAATACATATTGAAGGAATCTCAGTAATTAACACTATTCAATAAGTGATCGGGACTAATTTGTCTTCCTAGTGAAATTGAGAAATAGTTAGGTGTCAGGGTTTCAACAAATGGAAGTTGAAAAAAATAAACAAATTTGTCTTCTTTGCTAGTGAACCAACACAGACTAGGTTTACATTCTAAGTACGTATTATCTGTGGCAAGTGACTTCCTGTATTTTACGCATTTTCATACGTAGTCTTTGAATGAGAATAATGTCTAATTGATACCTGTAATGAAAAGGACTTGAGGGCTTTTGATTTTTTTTTAAATGGACTTTTATGTCAGGAATGTGTTTTGATCCTTTCACATTCAAATTTTGCCTCTCCAGAAACTTGTGCTGGGGTTCAGTCTTGTACAGCTAGAATTTAAATAGCCCTTGCTTTTAACATGGAATTCTGTCTTCTCTAGTGCCACAGAAGGGCTCTTTTAGTCACTAATTAGCTAACAGAAACTGCATCTGCCATTTCCCTTTTCTTTTTAAAGCTATAAAAGGGGCATGTCTGGACACATATTAAGGGGCAAGGGAAAAAACTAATTTAATGGAAGTGACGTAGGGACACTATATTTAATTGACATTTCTATGTTCCCAAAATTTTACAAACATTGCTCTATATCCCCCTTCATTGAGAAACACTTCCGTTTTTGGCTCTTTCTATCTCTGTGTGGCTCAATTGAAGACCAGCCCATTGACTCTGTCTCCTTTTCTCTACAGGCCGTTTTTACTATCTGATCCACCCCACCAAACTGACCTATGATGAAGCGGTGCAAGCTTGTCTCAATGATGGTGCTCAGATTGCAAAAGTGGGCCAGATATTTGCTGCCTGGAAAATTCTCGGATATGACCGCTGTGATGCGGGCTGGTTGGCGGATGGCAGCGTCCGCTACCCCATCTCTAGGCCAAGAAGGCGCTGCAGTCCTACTGAGGCTGCAGTGCGCTTCGTGGGTTTCCCAGATAAAAAGCATAAGCTGTATGGTGTCTACTGCTTCAGAGCATACAACTGAATGTGCCCTTAGAGCGCATCAGTTTTAAAGTCATTAAGAACATGTGAAAGGTGTTTTTTTTTTCCAATATGAACTCATGCAAGTTACCAAAACTGTGATAACCCTTTTTTACTTACTGTAAAGAGTCATTTTCATAAAGATCAATTCATTGATTTGTTTTTTGTAAAGCTATCATTCAATATATATTATAAATTAATATAAATTTAAGGGAAGCTCTATGTAAGGAGACTTAGAGCCAAACTGTTTAAGCTGTATCATCCCAACAAAGTATCCTTTCATGAACGGGGCATGCAATAGCTTAAGAATTGCTAGGATTAAATTAAGGAAAGTAAAGCTACTCAGAGCAGCAGGTTCCACAAGCACAAACTTTACACATTTGTACAATTTTGAAATGCACTACAATAAACAAATTAGAGCAACACATTTGAAATACAGGCTTCTTTACATAAACTGAGAGGTTATACAAAACTCAGTTTCACAAGGGAACAATCTATACCTTTCTAAAAGTTAATATTTCAAGTCTCTAATAGGCAGAATATTTTACTCTTTAAAATCCTGCCTTTCTGACCAAAAAAAAAAAAAAAAATTCATATGGATTCCAATCCATAGTAACAAGCACAGTTAAAACTCCTCAATAATCCCATTTATATGAAGCATGACACATAAATAAGCAGATAATATTTAACCAATGAAAAAGACTTCTACCTTCTTATAATTAAAATTACACATGTCTAAGAGGAATTGTTTTATCTTTTGAGTAGCTTTACCGAGTTGTATTTAAATTCTAAGGGCCATTTGCTAAGCAGCATTTAGCATCTACTCAGGGCAGTTATATAGATAAACTGCTGGACAGAAAAATTGTAAAATTTAGCAGCTTGATTTTCTGTTAGCCTATGAAATGTTATTGTCCTATAAAAATAACTTTAAACTGATTTAATATTTCATATTTACATTATATGAAAATCAATTACATTATAAAAGGAATCCCTAATGCAGAAACAAAGATGCAACTTTCAAAATTCTTATTATTCCTATTTGTATATACACGAGAGAACCCAACCAGTGCCTGTGTTTGGGGGGAAAAGTCAACAGTGTAGTTCTAAACCTTATCCCAAACAGAAAATGTGGTTAATGATGTCACTTTCCTTGCTGGTCATCATTAGGCTTAAATTAAATGCTGAAGCTGTCATCAAAGAGTTTACACTAAAATCTTCAGGGCTTTAAATAAAAGGTTAAGTCCAGCTTCCAAACACAATTTTCCACATTAGCAGCTCCAATCTTCTTAAATAAAGCTCTGTTTTCCTATATTTTTATGACTGCTGAGACCCCACAGGGACCAATATTTGTATTCAAATTACATTTCATGGTTTCCCATTGTTTCACAATGAGTTCTAATAAATGGGATTTACTATAATAATCCAAGTATGACATAGCCGGTATGCTTTCATGAATGTTTTTATGTAGATTTTCCTCCCATGAACATGAGTAAATAAATCTGTTTCCTGAATGGATTGTGGTTGCATTTAAAGCTCTGTAATAATTCTAATAAATTTACTCTATAGAGTTCTGTGTGTGGAAGGTATAGAACAATTGGAAGTCCATGAAACCATAACTATAATCATATATTATTCAGACAAAATATTGTAATAAAAGTAGGTCCTTTCTTTCATCAAAAACATATCTGAAAATTTTCAGATGCTTTAATATTAAAAGATGACAATGTTATGTATGCACATTTTTAAGTTAGGTTGGATATGCAAACTGTACAAAACTATAAATCCAAAGAGTTTGTAAAGTTTAAACTCAAACACTGGTGGTATAAATAGAACTTGCACTTCTAAATTAAGGAAGATACCTAAATGGTCTAGGATGAGATGATATATTATTTAAAGAGGGGACTATCTCCCAAATAACAACTTTAACACCTCAAATATGGGGGCTAGCTCATTGAAAGAAGTCCATACTTGAACTATTATTATGTATGTTCCGATAATTTTGTTGAAAATACAAGTGGGAACAAATTTCTATTGAAGCAAACATCTAATTTTCAGTTATGTCCAGAACTCTACTTTATAATGTTAAATGTAGTAGTATTTCTTAACTTTTAAATACTTACTACTATAGGAATTGGTGCTGATCAAAATCTCTGGAGTGACTGTTAGCTGATTAAAATCTATACCACTTACACATCATTTTTCCATTCGTGTAAAAAACAAAAAATCTTAACACAGTGAATACTGCTGAGCAGAATTTTTTCTTCTCATTTTGCTCAAAGGACCAGAATTTCCATGCCCTTTATACTCATACTTGAATGAGTCTTTTTAATGTTCTCATTTTGCTGTTTTTCCACCAAATGTCTATTTTCCTACTTCATTCCCCAAGATGTCTCACTGAGCAGGTCTGAAAAAGAAAGGTTATTCTAATACAATTCCTAACAGAAAGTTGGTACAACACTGGCTAATTCAGAAATCGCTCCTCAGACTTAGATTCCAAGAGTATCAAAGAGATTAGATGGGAGGCTGGGCCAGGAACCCTTGTTTTAATGTATTTGTCCATAATTAACACTGGTGACCATATAAGGAACAAAGTATATCTGCACATTTCACTGAGACATCTACATTGGAAAACCCAAACAAAAAGAAGCAATTCAAATAAAAAGACAACATAAGAACGAAAATAAGTTGGTCACATTAACACTGGAAGCCATCTTTAAGTGAGTGCTGTCATATTGTGTCACAGTAATTTTTAGCCAAATATGGCGTTTGTAAATTTAAACTTTCTCTCATGGAAAGGGGGCTGGTACCTGTCAAAGTGTTATTTTATGCAACAATATAGTCACTTTTTATTTTGGCAATTAGAAGTAGACTCAAAGGAGATTACAATTTGGTTGCTGGCAGCCATTCTGGGTTTCTTGATTTTAGTACTCCAAAGAATATGGTGGTCTCATGGAGTAGCTGACCACTAAGGAGGGGAGGATTAAAAGGGAATCACTTATCAGTTTTTAGCATAGGATGCATTAAGAAATATCAACGGATAACTGACATCGTTTTGTTAAGAAGTTAACTGTATCGTAGCTCACTACTGCCAGAGCGGCAATGGATGTACAACGAAAGAGATGAAAAATACAAAAGTTATTAAGCCACCTGATTAAAAGAAAACCAATATTTAAAGGCATTTAATAGATATCAAGTATAACTTTGAGGAGAAGAATCAATCTGTATTACCAAAAAAAAAATGTTTTGATTTTCTGTAAGATACAATGAACTGGTACATTAAAAGTCAATTTTGTGTTACTGCAGTATCTTTTAATTCTTCTGAGTTGTAGAATCTTAGCTATTTTTCTTTGTGTCAAACTCTGTCAATACATTATTTCCAAGAAAGGCATTTAATTCATTCTTGTTCTGATACATTTGACTTCAAATTGTAAATACGTACAATTTTCATTTCCTAGTACTCTTGCAAAGTCAAAAAAAAAAAAAGAGCATTTATATGGTGTCGCTAAATCAACTATAGTATTATCCCAAAATATATTGACTTTTTTCTCTTTGTATATGACTCAAAGCATAATTAA
Source organism: Homo sapiens (assembly GCF_000001405.40). Lineage (NCBI taxonomy): Eukaryota > Metazoa > Chordata > Mammalia > Primates > Hominidae > Homo > Homo sapiens. The sequence continues at coordinate 83,637,924 of NC_000005.10, read as the reverse complement.
TTTTGCCCACCAGTTCAGCAATCCCAGAAATCTATTGTGTTGTTGATTAGATTAACACATTTTAAATGCTTTATAACTTAATCATGAGTGCTGAATTAAAAAAAGGTTTTTCTTTTCATACTTAAGTTCTTCTCTTTAGCACTTTACACTCCCAATAGCAAGGAATATATTTTGCAATATTTCCACCCCTACTCTGGATTTTCAACATAAAAAATAGTTTCTGGATTTTTCTGATATACAGAAATGAATTCTTGAATGCAAGGATCTATTGCTGGTGCAATGACTTGAACAGAAACACACCTAAATGAGTTTGTCATTGATATTCAAATAAAAATGTACCTTAAAATTTTTCCCATACTTACTTGCAATACATTAATTGCCTTGGAGAAGAAAAAAGTCCAAGGATAATATGAAATTAAATCATTTACTTTTAGTGTTTCAGTTCTTACATAGATGGACGATATCTTCACCTTGCCAGCAATTTTTGTATATTGTGGCCTGGTCATATACAAAACTTGCTTGATACTAATATTGAAGGATCTTACAGAGTTTCATAATGTTAAAATAAAACAAGTAAACTATTAAGATGTGATGTCCTTACTTTCCTACAGAGTGACAGAGCTTAATATTATAATAAGACTATTCTTGTGCAGAATGGACCCTGTCTATGATGGTAGATGTATAAGAGGAGTATAAAAGCCAAGACTATTGGAGAATATGAGGGAGAAAATGAACTAAGAAGAAACTGACACTGGAAGTGTAAGAAGATATTTCCTTTCCTATCTCTACTTCTTGGGCCCTCCATTTAGGATTATTTAGAGGCATGTCTTAAGATGGTTCCGTAGTCTTTGCTTCTCAGTAGGTGGTATATTCAGGAAGATAATAGCTTCATGCCTCAGCTATTAAAAGATGGCTCTTTAATTTAGTTGGTGTCAGACAGCAGCCTGAGCTCCATTTATTCAGGAGAGTACCCCCAGGGAGGAGAGAAAGCTCTGATTTTCTATTACCTGACAATGAAGCTATTGGCTTTAACAACAAATGTAAGATTCTTGGATAGAAATAGACTTCTAAGAATATTGTATCTTTATATTTTTCTTTCAAAGCAAGGGGCCCAATTGCCAGCTTTTCATCTGTTGGAAATATCTGGGATTTTTAAAACATTATTTGAAAAAAATGTTTCTTTGATTTTAATCAATGAAAATTCTGCCTGCCAAAATTCATATATATGCAGAGAGCAAAGAAAGATAAAAAACAAGTGAGTTTGAGACTTTAGAGACTATGAAAGGTCCTTCTTTGAAGATGCTGAGATTCTTGCATGTGAATCTAAAAACAAAACCATTTATTATTGTAATAAATAAACATGTTCATGTGTAATGATTGCCGCAAGCCCAGGGAAAAGATAAATAATGTCCTTCATGGTTCTTCCTGTGCTCAGAGTTCTGCCAAATTGAACATCCTTTCTCTATGGGAAGATGCTTGTTCCTGTGATGAGAGCCAAACTTCAAGTGGCTGAGAAGCAAATTCTGCTATTCTAATAGAATGCCTTTGAAGAGCCAAACTTTCAGTTCAGTGTACATGAACATTCAGTAATCTGTTAAAGCAATTGTAGTCAGCATATTGGAATCACTTCGGAATCTGCAGAAAAATGTGGTCTGAGTCCCTCCCCCACAGATTATAGTCAAGTGTGTAACGTGGACATCAGGATTTTTAACCCCCACGCCCTATTCTAACGTGACTCTAACGTGCAGTCAGGGGTGAGAACCACTGGATTTAACTATTTTAGGGACAAAAAACAAAGCTATTCCACAGATATATAATTAGGTTGATATTTATGACTCACAATTTAAACAATTTAAAAACTCTATAATTGGTTTAAATTTTATTGAACTTAGAATATTCTTCAAGCATAAATATTTAATTGCTTTGATTTGCTTTCTTTTCTAGTGATAGTTCCGATTACATTAGCAAATATGTATCTAATAAATTATGTGCCTACCCTATTATTGTTACTTCTTCAATAAAAACTACTTTAAACCATTTATACTATCAAACCCTTTCCCATCTAAAGTACTGAAATGTAAAGGCTATGACAATAATCATGTAAAATATTTTGGGATAAGAATTTGAACTCCACATTGAAGTCAATGGCTTCTGAGATTTCAATTATATCTCAGAGAAAAAGACTTGAATTCACTGTGAGGTTTCCATTACCAACACTGACCCTCAGACAAAAAACAAAAGCAACACAATGCTAGCTAGGTAGAAGATTGGGTGGGAGTGTGGAATGGAGAGGAAGACAGAGAGAGAGGGTAGAAGGAGGAGAGAGGAGAGAGAATTCTACCCTTGTCCTCAGTAAGGATATATGATTTGATTAAATTAGTTTACCAAATACCAGAGACAACTGTTTACTTCTTAAAACTCTAATACTATATGTTACATAGAAAATCACTATTGTTTTTCAAAAGCATATTTATTTTATGGCATCATGAAGACATGCATTACTTATTACTTAGCAGCAACTTATTCATAATGTTAAAGATATTGGACTGTTTATCATTGGAAGACACAGTTCAATAGAGTGGTTCCAAGCATAGACACTAGCGTGATAGTACCATAGTTCAAATCTAGCCCTGCCACCTACTGTCTCCGGGTAAATCATTTAACATTTCTTGGTCTTGATTTCTCCATCTAAAAGTAGACATATTAATATTAATGATATCATTAATGCTTGCCTGATACCATTATAAAATTTGAATGAGTTAATATATTGTGGTAATAGCTAACACAATACCACATTTGTGCTAAGTATTTTATGTATACCATTTATTTAATCCACTTGATACCCTGTAAGACATATTATTGCCTTAGTTTTCAAAATGAAGAAATTAAGGCCCAATCAGGATAAATGACTTGCCCAAGCTCACATGGCTTCTCTTAATAGCAAAGTGAAGACTTAAGTCAAGCAGAGGTTTCAAGGAATTGCCCTCTTAACCACTGTACCATACTTAACCTCATGGAAAACCATGGAACTGTTCCTGGCACATAATAAGCACCCTATAAATATTAGCTGTTATTATGTTGTAATCTATATATAGATTTACAAGTCAGATCAAAAAACAGTCCTCAGTTTTCTCACCCTAACAAAGAGGATCAAAATACATTATAAGGTTTATTTTCTAATAATTAAATAAGATTATTTAAAGATAGAAAATTCATTATCACTTATCATTACATACTACCTCAAAATATGTTGGGTTTTTTTACTATTTAAATCTTTAATATATAATTACTTAAATTTTTGTTTGCATATGTCCTTGGTCAATAAACCAAATTATAAGTTTCTAAAAGCATAGACTACATAATGTTATTTTAATAATTCTTCAACCTCACTGCAAGGGCGGCTAGCATAGTGCTGTCAATGTAGTTTGAAAATTTGTATTTTCTTATAACTGAATACATATTTATAGAAAAAATATTGAAAAAATCAGATAAGCACAAAAAGAAAATGAAAATTTATTATAATTCATAATCCAAATATTCAAGGGACAAAACGACACAAATTTTGTTTTAAAATATCATATTTACCATTATATATGTGAATAAATCATAGTTTTTAATCAAAATTAGATCATCATACCCAAAGTTTTAGGAATATCACTTATAGTTTTCTTAAAGACATAGTTTCATACATTTCATATTTTCCAGGATTGATTAATTAATTTAGCAAGTGTTTAATTAAACTGACCTGTGGATATGGTATGGCTATTGGAGTCTGCTATAACTCACCCTGATACAGGTGAAATATATGAACAGTAAAATTCAATAATAAACTTCTTTAAATGTTGGATGATCTCACTAGGAGGTATAGCCTAATAACTCCTTCAGCCATGACCTAGATTCCTGAATTCTGTGGCTCTCCTAGAGAGCACAGAGGCACAGGTTAAGGCCCGGCATTGGTGCCGGGAGACTAGGGCCTACCTTCTTCCTACTCTAGTTTTAGAGTACACAAAGAAAAGACACGTAGCTAAAGACGCAGAGGCTTCGGACAAGCACACTTCTATGCGGAAGAAATAAAGTCCTATTTTGTATCTTTTCCACTGGGAAGACTAATTCTAAAGAAAAGGGTAATAAGCAAGTATCTTACCAAATTAAAAAGGATAAATATTAATTAAAGAGGTGCACTAAAAATATAATAACAGTTGTCACCAAAATATAGAAAACTGATGAAGTATGACAAATTCACTGAGAGCTGACTTCATTCTAAGGGTCAGAGAAGAAATTTCAGACATCAGGGTTTTGATGTTTTGGCAGGAGAGCACTGTTCAGGATGTGCTCTGGAAACTTGAAAACTCTTGGGCAGGTAAGCAGCCGAACAGTGCCTAGAGACTGCAGCCTAATGCTGTAGAAAGTCCTTGGAGAAAAGCTATCTCTATGACAGCTGGTTTACGGAAATGCCTACATCATATTAATGTAAAGGCAGAAAGGTGTAATAGCTTTCCTTATCCATCATAAGGATCATGGCTGACACTCCTATAACAAAAGGCAATTTAACAAGGGAATAGCATAATACATTTATTTCATCAAAATTTTATGTGACATGGGAGCTTCCAGAAATAAAGATCCAAAGACCCAAGGGAAACTTATCATATGCTTAGGTTTGATAAAAAACGGATAACTGTATAGAAATGTGATTGGACAGAGGGTATGATCTAATGGTAACAGATCGAGGCTGGAAACCCTCAAGGCCTGTCTGTGCAGATTCTTCTGGCTGTGAAGCTTTCCTTCCTCCTGGGTATGGGGCAGGACCCCGCTGGAATGAGATTGTTGAGGGAGAAGGCACAGAGTGACCTTTTGAGGTTTTATGGTTTGCTTTAGGGAAGAGGAAGACGAATTCCAATTTCTATTACTCACTTCAAGTGAGAAAGAGGGACAGGAGACAGGAGGGCAGGAGGTCAGAGAGAGACTTTGCTTCTGAGGCTGTTTCTGAGGCCTTCTAATCTCCTTTAGTTCAAAGTACTTAGCATACCAAAGAATCATACTTTGGCTTATCATTTTCTGTAATATTAGCTAAAGCATTACTTCACAAGACAGTTTTGACATGTAGTATAAATAAATTCCCTCCCATTTTGTTTGGAATAACGCAAAGATAAATAGAACACTGGAAATATAATTAAAGCTTATTCCTTTAAATATTTAAAGAGAGGTAAATATTTAATGGTGCTTTACATACAGAAGCCTTAAAGAAGTCCAGAATTTATAAATATACACTATTGATTTGAGGCTCTGAAGGACTCCATTCTAATGCAAATAATCAAAATAGCAGTTTTAAAATATGTGTTGTCCCATGGAATACTATGAAGCATAAAAAAGGATGAGTTCATGTCCTTTGCAGGGACTTGGATGACGCTGGAAACCATCATTCTCAGCAAACTAACACAAGAAAAGAAAACCAAACACCCTATGTTCTCACTCATATGTGGGAGTTGAACAATGAGAACACATGGACACAGGGAGGGGAACATCACACACTGGGGCCTGTTGCGGGGTGGGTGGCTAGGGGAGGGACAGCATTAGGAGAAATACCTAATGTAGATGATGGGTTGATGGGTGCAGTAAACCACCATGACACGTGTATACCTATGTAACAAACCTGCACGTTCTGCACATGTATCCCAGAACTTAAAGTATAATAAATAAGTAAATAAATAGATAAATAAATAAAATACGCATTGTCTGTATGATCTCTACTATGCACAATCAATTAATATGCCTGAAGGCCGGGCACGGTGGCTCACACCTGTAATTCTAGCACTTCGGGAGGCCGAGGTGGGCAGGTTGCCTGAGCTCAGGAGTTCAAGACAAGCCTAGGCAACATGGCAAAACCCCATCTCTACTAAAAATACAAAATATTAGCTGGGTATGGTGGTGTGCACCTATAATCCCAGCTACTCAGGAGGCTGAGGCATGAGAAACGCTTGAACCCAGGAGGTGGAGGCTGCAGTGAGCCGATATTGCGCCACTGCACTCCAGCCTGGGTGATAGAGTGAGAATCTGTCTCAAAATAATAATAATAATAATGATAATGATAATAATAATAATATGCCTGGAAGGAAATTCATTCAATATATCCATCAAATATATTTCCCTCCTACTTCTAAAGTGTCCATTACAAAGATGTATTCTACAACAATTATTTAACAAATAAATGTACTGCAATACTAGAACATTCTCATTGCAGCCTAACAATTTTTTAAAAACTTGGGGGGAAATATTCCAGATTTGACTCTATAATTTCTTCCCTACCATATCCCATATAACTAACTTTCTTTCTTTCTTTCTTTCTTTCTTTCTTTCTTTCTTTCTTTCTTTCTTTCTTTCTTTCTTTCTTTCTTTCTTTCTTTCTTTCTTTCTTTCTTTCTTTCTCTCTTTCTTTTTTTTTTTTTTTTGAGTCTCCCTCTTTCGCCCAGGCGGGACGGCAGTGGCGCTCTCTCGGCTCACTGCAAGCTCCGCCTCCCGGGTTCACACCATTCTCCTGCCTCAGGCTCCCGAGTAGCTGGGACTACAGGCGCCCGCCACCGCGCCCAGTTAATTTTTTGTATTTTTAGTAGAGACGGGTTTCACTATGTTAGCCAGGATGGTCTCGATCTCCTGACCTCGTGATCCGCCCTCCTCGGCCTCCCAAAGTGCTGGGATTGCAGGCGTGAGCCACCGCGCCCGGCCTTTCCCTACCATATCATTTTCTATTCCAGTTCTACCACTGTAAAAGCCAGCCTAGATATCACTTGATTAGGACCTGAATCATCAACACTTTCTCAAAGGAGAGCCGTGGACATTTTGGACAAAATGATTCTTTACCATCTGAGACTGCCTTAGCTTTCAAGACACTTTAACATCCCTCACTCCTCCAGTAGCTCATTGCCAGTGATAACCGAATTCCAATCATTGTGACAACTCAAAACATAGGACACACATTTCCCTACATCCCCAAGATACAAAATAGCACTTTTCTGGAGAACTGCCTGAGTTTTTTTATTATAAAGTGAATGATGAAATAGAAGGGGACTAAAGAAGCTATGATGCACCCCAGTGGAGCTTTATTACATCCGCTATGAGGTGGCCACAACCAAGCTCCGGCCTTAATGTCACCAGAGCCAGATGGGCATACTCCTTCCTAAACCAACCACCCACTGTGGGCTCCATCAAGGTTGAGCTTCTCCAGGAAGTGCCTAGGTATTTTAGCTAACCCTAATTTCTTATTTATTAGCAGTTCTTTTACCAGTGCCAGAGATTCGGAGAGAAACTAGCTCATCTCAGCATTTACCTCATTGGTTAATATTATTTGCTGATTAAACTCATTAGTGTGTGTAAGTGCTTCTAAGAGTGCTTGGCACATAGTAAGTGTCTGATAATGCTATTTTCATCAGCAATCATGAATTATTATCATCATCATCATCTTCTTCATCATTATCACCTTCATTACTTGTGATTACCTTTGCAATCACAGTACATCAGATAGCAATTTTGTACACAGTATATCACATAGCGATTTTGCCCAAGCCTGGAAGCTTATAATAAGTATATCATGCTCCGCACAAAGCAAGGTATTTCTTCTTCAATAAGGTGACCAGCTTAAATAGTTCCTGCTCGACAGTCAAAATTTGAGGCACGGTAAAAGTTCACAAACATTCATTGAGTTGCAGAACAAAATATAATGTAAATTTCAAGTTACACATACTCCTTTGGAAATTTTCTGTATTGGCTAGATTAAAGTTTTTTAATATACAAGACCAGTAACATTTGAACTGAAAATATTTTCTTCCTAGCTTAGCAAATCCTCTTGTAGCAAGTGAAGCTTTTTTTCATTAAGATCCTCCCTCTAGGATTCAAAATTAGAGTCAATATCTCAAAATTATTCACTGTCAATTACATACTTGAAAAGTTTGAATTATCTTTAAATGCTAATCCTATAACACAGCATGTGGCCTGTGTTGGTATAGTCTGCAGTTCCTTAGTGAAGGTAAATGCAGTTTAGGTAATTAATGAGGTGGGGGAAGGTTCTTACCAATGGTTTTAACAAGATCTAAAATTGGTGTTTGCCAGACATCCTACTATAAACTGAAGGTGAGCTGTGTTCTGGCATAGGACTTGGTGACTTGCATTTTGATACATGACATCTCTGACATAGAAATGTTACTGGAAAGGGATCCTTATCCAGACCCCAAAAGAAGGTTTTTGGATCTCTCACAAGAAAGAATTCAAGATGAATCCATAAAGTAAAGTGAAAGCGAGTAAAGGAATAAAAGAATGGCTACTCCATAGGCATGGCAGAGCAGCACTGAGGGCTGCTGGTTGCCCATTTTTATGGTTATTTCTTGATTATATGCTAAACAAGGGATGAATTATTCATGCCTCCCCTTTTTAGACCATTTAGGGTAACTTCCTGATGTTGCCATGGCATTTGTGTGTTGTCATGGCGCCGGTGGGAGTCTAGCCCTGAGGACCACCAGAGATCAGTCTCTTTGCCATCTTGGTTCTGGTAGGTTTTGGCCAGCTTCTTTGTTCCAACCTGTTTTATCAGCAAGGATACAAGTCTTTATGGCCTGTATCTTGTGCCTCCCTCCTATCTCATCCTGCGACTAGGAATGCCTAACCATCTGGGAATGCAGCCCAGTAGGTCTTGGCCTTATTTTCTCCAGCTCCTATTCAAGATGGAGTTGTTCTTGTTCAAATGCCTCTGAAAGAAACATCACAAGTTTCTTGAGATGAAATATTGTACATAGTTCTCTATTTCCTTCATAGTTCCAGCAACATGTGCTCTCATTTACACTACTCACTGTAGACTTTCCATCAAGTTGCAGCTTGATAGCTGAAGAGGTGTGTCTGATGTAATTGTGAAAATAATTCCACAAGCAAAAATTAGGTTTGTTATTTGTCATCTCCAGACTAATCATAAAACACCTCAAGTTTCCTTTATAGGAGTTTCCTTTGCATGAGGAAATTAACTACTGTTTCCCTGCAAACTGGCAAATGAGAAAGATTACACACAATGCAATTCTTGTTTTTGATTTTGTTTTTGCTTCTTTCTGGCTAACCTTGGAGCAGAAGACTCTTTGGATAAATTTATAATACATTTTAGAGGTGGGAGAGTTTTAATTCAATTATTAACAAATATTTGCATCCTTTTAGTTATCTCTGAAGAAAAAATATCACAGAGCATAAGGCTCAAAATAAATCTATTAATTGGTCCTTTGTAAGTGTCTGTGCATAGTTTGGGTTACCACATTTTATGTCCCAGTTTAAAAGTCATTCAAGTTCAAATTCTTTTTGGTTGCAAATATGTTCAGGATTCCTGGGGAGTTTGTGACTGAACCAGATGGCCGGCAAATATGCAGACTTCCACCTAATCTAATATTTTTATCTTAAGATAATTGAGCTTCTCCTCTTCACGTAGCCTTCAATAGAAAGCAAATTGTGTAAGGAGAAAATATTATTGATGCTTATTCAGGTTTTATTGGGTGATTTAATATGAGTTAGCCTTAGCAAATATGGAAAGAAATTGGGATCATAAGATAAATTTCCAAGAACACAACTCAACTTGTCCCTAGCATTCTAAATAAATGGTTAAGTGGAAATGAGTGTAACCTGTTTTAGTGGAACCTGTGAAGGCCCACAGATTTTAAAACACACCAATACTTCAGACCAGCTTTGACTGAAATATTTCCTAATGGGTCTAGTTAAGTGATGTTATATATTTTGGCAGTTCTCAAATTATTTTCTGCCAACTCACAAAGAACAAACAATACAGCAATTCACATTGTGGTAGAATATTATTTTGAATTATTAGTTTGTGTCTTTTCTACCAAATACCGATTTTGTTCATTCACCTCTTAAGGGCTTCCTCCCCCAAGTTTTTACGGGCAGATACAAGTCACCCATGCAGAGCCTATGAAGGAAAGCTAAGATATTCAATTCTTCAACAGCCTTCCAGTCTAACAGGAGGTACATAGATTCAGATGCATGCTTGCAGAGGGAATTTACTGCTCTCCAGGACTAGAAAAATGATGCACTGAGTGAGAGGAGAGAGAACAGGGGGCTGCCGTGTGAACAGAACTCTGGATCCCCATCAGTGTTAGGGAGTGGTTTGTGTGCTGAAGCAGCACAGATTTGATGCCCTGTCAGGAGCACCAACTGCCAGCATTCAGCCCCCTGCCTACTCATCAACCATCTACCATGGTTTGTACCAAAAGACTCTGCCCAGCCCCTTAACCGACATATCCCGAACAGTGGAGAACTTGTATTCCTTGCAGGAGAGGAGGAAAGCCCCTTCTGAATTGTGAGGGAGCACACAGCCCCTGTTTTACTCTCTTTCTCAGTATACATATGTAGTTAAAAACAAACAACAAAATACACCAATAAGGGAGGCTCAAAATGTAATGAATACAGTTATTGGCTGCAAATGATGTCCACCCTGGCACTTATGGACTATAGCATAAATTTGGTTTTGTTTTTCTGTACAAGTTCTATGAAATCCAGTTCAATTCATTAAGCACTTTTTGAGTTTCTCCTATATGCCAAATGCTAAGGACACTGCTACAGCTGTGATACAGGGAGAAAACCACTGCCACAAATTGCAGCTGGCTCTTAATATTCATGAAAATTAGTGGCTAGAAACTGTAGCAGTGCATAAAAATCTCAATGTGTCCAAATGGTCCTTGCCAACAGAAAGTCAAAGAATCAGAAAAATAACTTTCTCCATACTTTCATCTTTTGAATCTTTTCAGTGGAACTGAAATTATATAGCAAAACACCATGGCAAGGAAGACTTGGAAATGCACCTGTAAAAAAAAATATTTCTAGTTTTCAATATACAGGAAGGCAACACAGGTGATTAAAATCAATATTGACTGCCAAACCACCATAGCCAAAGCAAGCCTTCCTTTTGACTACTCAACATAGATGTACACCCTTCTATGTATACTCAAGATGTATATTTGCATACCTGTTTAGAAAAACAACAACAAATAGCATCAACAACATGCTCCCACCAATATTATGCAAACAAATATGCACTCATTATGCTGTGGCTTCTTTCTGTTTCCCTATCTCTTACTGGTCAAAATTCACCATTTGAGGCATTAACTCCCCCACACTTCCAAGTTGTACTACTTAGCGCCTCTGGGCAGTCACTGGGGAGCCAGATATCATGCTCCAAAGCAGGTTGCTTCAATTTAGTTTGAATATGGCGGGAAAAGTAGGCTTCCCCTTTGCCCTCATTCAAGGAAGGGTGGAAAGCATGCAGGAGTTGAGATGAGACAATGGTAGTGATGACGAGACGGGAGCATTCCATTGAGCAAACAAGTGGGACGGGTGGGGCCAAGAAAATCTGAGGAAGTACATAAACTGGATACAACCCAATTATCTATTCCAGTGAGGATGAGTTGCTTCCCCCTCCATAATGGAACCAGGTTGCTGGTTGGTTCTAACAGCTTATAGTTTCTTATTAGCGGCTCAGTATTTCTCTCCACTGTTGACAGACTTAAATTCACAGTGATGATAGCCAGGCCAGGATTGGTGAAAGCCCAGGTTGTTGAACCCAGCATAATCTCCACTCTTGCCACCATGATGTCTTTGTTGATAAGTCATTGATCAGGCACCAGAATAGTAGGGGGAGGAAGCTAAATAATCTGAATAGAATGGGCTATCCTATCCACCTGGTTATTAAGAGCCTCCTTTGCAGTGAGTTTACTTTTGTGACATTCCCATGAACCACTTGTGAGAGGTTTATTCATATACTGATTTCCAAGATTCAGGGGCTATCTGGCCTCTGACTATCTTGACCTATTCATAGCCACAACCCATAAAGCAGTGTATGTTCATATGTGTGCTTATATTATCTTCCAGCAAAAAGGAAAACCAGAAAGATACATAGATGAACATTTGCCCACTGAAAGGATTTCGTTTCCCTTCTCTGCTTGGGAGCCACTCTTGAATAGGACTATAATACCATGACAGTCCACTTCTGTCTATTTCTGGTACAATCACCTATAAAACAGACATAAATATTTTCTTCCTTAGTAAATGTGTCACAAACATTGACTGAGGCAGGGGTGGTAATGCCAAACAAATGGTTGCACTGGGTGGCTGAGCCATCTACTTGTATAACTTTTTCATGCCTTCAAGACCTGTCTAAGCCCAATTTCCTATATACTCCTTTCATTTAATGATGGCTTGATCCAATTCTATGATTTGCTGAATCAGAAATACGCAGTTCATGAAGAGTATTTCAGGCCACATAGATACTTACAATCCATTAGTTATGAGTTCAGTCTCTACCAGGACTCTAAAACTTTATAGTTTTATGTACTTCTCATTAAGTGAATTGGAGCAATGCACCCAAATGTGGGATATATTGCTCCCACATGCTGTGTCCCTTTCGAATAATAAGGAGTCTAAGGTATAAGAACTCATGTTTCACTTTGGAGAGACTATCTTTTCATGCCTTGGCCACTGGACTATCCTGAAACTTCATTTCAGTGGCAGGTATCTGAATTTTTATGTGATTATATTTCACCCTCTGCTATGTAAATGTCTTACCAAGGGGTCTAGGATGTTTGTTACTCTCTGGCTTACCATGAATGTCAATAATGTCCTAGGAAGATGCCTCGTGTTATGGAGAGGTGATCAATGTCTCTGTGGACTGAAATATGACATGGACTCAGACTATTTGATGTAGCCCTGATGTAAAACGATGAAGATGCACAGTCTCTGTCAAATAAAAGAAAACTGCTCCGGCAAGCTCAGGTTAAAATAAATTGCGGGGAAGTCTTGCTAACTTGATAAGTGCTTATCAGGTGCAGGGTTCTGTTGATTATTCTAGTGAAGAAACTTGGAACATCAGCTGCATCTGAAGTCACTTATTTTATTAAGCTTACAATAATGCACTGTTATTTAACAGAATCATCTGTGAGCTTAATGAGCAAAACAGGTGAGTTAAATGGTAATGTGATAGGACTTACCATCCCAAAATCCGTCATACCTGGAGTTTCCTCTGGAAAGCTCCAGCTGGTGTGTTTTCTGTCCTTACCTAATACATCTACATAGCATGCCCACTTTAAGCCTTGGACCTCATCTTTTTCCACTAGTTGTTTCAGCAGTTCTGACACTTACACTTTACTTAGTGTGGGCCATTATTTTTCCCAAACTTGTAAGAGCTGTCGTTACAGAGTGTTGACAGTATCTCCCAGGTCATTGTCAGGGTGTTGAATCTTGTATCATAGGAGGCTGTTCCCGTGTTGAAAAAACTATCTCTTACTCAACTTCACATTCTACTCTCCTTATACAGCATGCTCAAAATCCTGCCCAATTCATCAGGTCCCAACTCCTACTGGTATATGTCAGCTAAGTCCCATAGCTTCTTCCAGGTACAGAGCTTTTCCTTCCATAGTACACCCCGCACTTTCCTAGCCAGGTTATGTTCTGACTCATCTTGGCAATTGATCCAATTTCCACTAGCAGAGGTAGAATTGATGAAAGTACATCATTTCATCAAACTCCACTCTCAAGACCCCATGCTTTCCCTGTGCTGGCCCAGACTTTGACACACAGACTTGCTGGGAGTAGAATTTCAACATATCTTCTCTGAAGCTTTGCTACTCTTCTAATTAAGTCCTGAGCCTGATCCTTAGCTTTTTCTGCCTTACAGTAACAGAAGTGAGAGTTTCTTTATGTGCTTCCAAGGATATCTCCTGAATTTCACAATTTACTTTTGATTGATGATTAATTACTCTCAGTTTTTCTTTGTCTTTCTCTAATTCATCAATGGCCCCCATCAGCAGCCATATCTTTTCATGGCCCTTATTAGAATTTCTCCCTGAATCTGAAACACCTAGATATTGTACCCACCAGTGCATTTCTTTCACCAAAATCCAACCCAATTCACCACAAATGAAAGTCAACAATGCCAGTATGACAAAAAGGTCAAGGTACCACCAGGCTTGGTGTCTGGTAACAGCCCAGTCTCTGTTTCCAGAATGGTGCCTTGAACGTTGTGTCCTTGGAAGGGGAGGAACGCTGTTCCTCACATAGCAGAATAGCAGAAGGGGGTGAACCCACTCCTAATGCCTTTTTATTGTGGCATTAGTACATTCATGAAGGCAGAGTCCTCATGACCTAAACATTTCCCATTAGGCCCTACCTCCCAGTGCTGTTGCATTGATGATTAAGTTTCAAGCACAGTAGTTTTGGAGGGGATGAACATTCAAGTCATAGTACTGGCTTCTTTCACTTAGCATAATATCCTCAAGGTTCATTCATGTTGTAGTATATGTCAGATGTTCCTTTCCTCTTAAGGCTGAATAATATTCTATTGTGTGGCTCTACCACACTTTGCTTATTCATTCATCTGTTGATGAACACTTGGGTTGCTTCTACATTTTAGCTATTGTGACTAATGTTCCTATGAATATGAGTGTACACATATCTTTTTGAGACCCTGCTTTAATTCTTTTGGGTAAATACTCAGAAGAGGAATGGCTGGAATAATCCAGCTGGAATAGAATGGCAATTCCTTTTTTTTTTTTGAGACAGAGTTTTGCTCTTGTTGCCCAGGCTGGAGTGCAATGGCGCAATCTTGGCTCACTGCAACCTCTGCCTCCTGGGTTCAAGCAAATTTCCTGCCTCAGTGTCCCGAGGAGCTGGGATTACAGGTGCCCAGCACCACACCCAGCTAATTTTTGTATTTTTAGTAGAGGCGGTGTTTCACCATATTGGCCAGGATGGTCTAGAACTCCTGACCTCAGATGATCCACCTGCCTTGGCCTCCCAAAGTGCTGGGAGGCAATTGCATTTTTTAATTTTTTGAGGACCTGCCATACTGTTTTCCATGGCAGCTGTATCATTTTACATTCCCACCAACTGTGCACAAGGGTTCCAATTTCTCTACTTCTTCATCAACACTTGTTATTTTCTTTCTTTCTCTTTTTGTTTTTTAATAGTAACCATCCTAATGAGTGGGAGGTGATATCTACCTTTTGGTTTTTTGATTACATGAACTGTCAAAATCTTGCAAGTCTTTTTGTCATCATTCTCCTCTCAAGTCACATTTTGTATTTCTTCCTGGGTCTTGCTGGAACCTGACTCTAGATATAGATTTGTGTAGGGGAGAAAAGTAGAATCTTTTCTCACCCGTCCAATGCAAGTTTCATGGCTGACACTCCTATAACAAAAGACAGATTAACAAGAGAATAGCATAACAAATCTATTTAATCAAAGTTTTATGTGACAAGAAATCCTATAGAAATGAAGACCCGAAGACCCAGGTGAAAGTATTTTTATGCGTCAGTTTGATAAAGAACAGACATTCTTGTATAAGTATGATTAGACAAAAAGGGGATATGATCTAGTGGTAAGAAATTGGGAGACCCTAGTCCGACTCTTCTTTGCCTCTGTATGTTAACATTCCTATCCTCCAGGTATAAGGCAGGACACCTGTCAGGCGGGAAGGAGTAGAAGGTCAGGGAAACATTTCTGCTTCTACATTTTCTCAGTTCCTTCAGCTTAAAATTCTCAGTATGCCAAGATGCCTTATTTGGGGGTAGGGCTTCCTGTACCCCATCATTTGGAAGCAATGAGAGATAGCAAAAGGTAGGCCGTGAGAAAAGTCAGCACTGCCTTTGCAGCATAACCATTTCAGATAAGGTTGTTTCAGGTTACCAGGCAAGCAGGACCAGCTTCATGCATCAAGAAAGGAGATGCTGCTGCTGCTGCTGGCAGAGGAGGTGCTGTGGGGACTGGGTTTGGGACACTCAGTATGACCCAAGCTAATATAAATGTTTCCTTCCAATCCTATTTTCCTCCTTCTCACCCACAGAAGAGATCCAGTAAATTTGTAAATTCAACTTTTTTAATCATCAGCAACTCCCTGGTCTTATGTTAGGTGCAACAGCCCTGTGGTTATCAGAGATAAAAAATATATTTTAAGATACTCCTGATCCTCTGACCATGCCTTGAGCCAAAAATTAAAAATTCTGGTTTATAAATTTTTTTCTCTGCAGCCCTGCAGAGAAATCAGAAGCAGCCAGCCCTGTATCATCATTCCTGTTATAAGGAATACTATACAATTACTGTAGTAATATCAAAAAAGCACATCTGCACCATCACTGTTCAGAAATGCAATGCCCAAATGAGGATTTTTGTGACTTCCACAGAGTTAATTTACCTTCATAATTCATTTTATAGGTCAAATGACTTGTTTTTCTAGATTCTGAAACAAATAAGCCATGATAATAAAATACCTTAAATTTTAACAGCTCTTTTTTATGCATTCTCTTCAAACAAAAATATAAAACTATGCATTTACTCAAATAGCTTCATGGAATAACTATCAACACCTTGAAGAAACAAGTATTTTAAGTAAACAATTTCTCTATCAACATTGATGAGAAAACTAATTTTTTTCATGTGTACACATTTTTTAAAGTGTTGAGAACAGGAATACTTCCTGCAGTTACAAATTACATTATAAACCTTTAGTGTTGACAACAACATCATGATAATATAGGACTGCTGCTCCTTGTGAAATGCTGAAAAAATGGGCTTATAAGGTTAGCAGTAATAGATACAAAACAAATTTGCTCAAGCAACTCAAGATTAGGCTACAAAGAAAACAATTTTTAAAAACCTGATATGTGCCAAGATGCATTGATTTAATCACTTTTAAAAATGTGACTACTTGGATAATTTTTATTTATTATATTTTACCTTTAAAACTCTTTTTTAGAGACAGGGTCTCACTCTGCTGCCCAGGCTGGAATGAAATGCAGTGGCTCAATCATAACTCACTGCAGCCTCGAACTCAAACTCCTAGGCTCAAAGGATTCTTCCACCTCAGTCTCCCAAGTAGCTTGGATTACAGGTGTGAGCCACAGAGCCCAGCTTTATACCATCTTTATGTAAAAAGTGTTTAGCATTGAGTGCCACATACCAACTGTCTAATTGATCTTTTTGAACTAACACTGACCTAGTCTTTGTCTTTAGGAGAAAAACATTTCTAAACAAGCTAGTAGGGTTCTTCTACAAGGCAATAGTTTTGATTATAACTAAATTTTGTTAGGGGAGGATGGTAATATTTTGAAATGTATAATATCCTATAATTTTATGTGATGAGGTTTATCCACAATTTAAGACAACTGTATTTCTACATAAGTAGTCCCTGGATAAAAGTATAAGTTATGATTTCATATTTAAACAAGAGAAAGCTTTGTAGAGAGTTAAACTGCTAACTGGTGACGTTTATGAACAAAATGTTTTTAGCTAACAAAGTAAGGGATACAACTTAACAATATAAGGGATACATAAAGTTTTAGAAATCACAGTAGAGCACCAGCATCCAAAGTTAATTGGTTATGACAAGGTGTAACGTTGAACTAATAAATTGCTTTTTAAATAGCAATCATAACTTGCTGTATAAAAGGTAGGATAAAGACACATTGAACCACTATGTGAAGTTATTTTTTTAAGTCCAGAAATGATTTCAAATGGATTACCAAAAAAGGAAAATAAAAACCAGAAAATCACAGTTGCAGAAAACCTCTAAATAGAATTCTTTAATCCTATGAAGCCTAGCTATTATATATATAATTTCTTTATTTAATTGCTTTTAAAATGTGACTCTATATGATAAACATTCTGATTAACATTTTAACATCATAAAACTGTACTTAAAGAGATAAAGTGTTCTTTATCAGTGTCAGAACACTTACATATATTTTTATTCTTTTATCTTTTGCATACACCTCCAATAACCAAAGAAAAGTTTTGTCTTAGCAATTACACAAAGGCTTGGGGGTACACAACAGACTCCATTAACCATCTTTGTGAGCTAGAAAGACATTCAAAGCATGACAACAAAACTTGAAAGTGAACCTTAGGAATATCTATTCTGAAATGTCTTTGCTATGTGTCCTTCATCCATGCCACTACTTTTCTATTGTGAATCTCTTCTCCCCTAAATCCCTGTTTATTCCTAATGCACAACCACTATGCCATTTTTTCAGTTGACTGGCTCCAAGCTCTCATCTTTTACCCCAAGCCATTTCACAGATTATTTCCCTAAATACAGACACCTTCCTCTTTAACAGAAATTCCACTGCCAGTGGCTACAATAATTTCTTCAACCCAGTACCCAAGCAAAAATCTATAAAGATCTACCTAAATCTAGTCAAGTTCTCTACACTTGGACCTTAAAGATATCCCTGTCCTTCAAGGAGATAGGTTTGGAGAAAGGTTCTGCCCAGGTTTTCTTCTGCCGTGACTTTAAAGTCTGGATTGTCTGCTTCTCCTCTTCTGTGTCACACACTAGCCTGCGCTGAATGTATTACATCTTTGTGTTAAGGTTTATATACCAAAGATGGAGAAATATCTTTCAGCCATTATTAACACGGTTCAGTTTTTCTGGTAAAAGTCTGTATCTAATATATCTAGAGGCCTGTGAAGGCCAGACTCTTAAGAGGTTTACTCTCTGGTAATTCTTATCTGCAAATGTACTTCCTGGGGCTTTCTGGAAGGCTTTTTCTCTCTGTGGCTCTACTGGTCACAATTTCTGCAGTGTATTGTAGGCTTTTGTAGGAGAAAAGCTACTTCCAGATGGTGGTTCCCTCAAAAACCTCCCCACATTTTTAATAAATCCTACATTCTGTCATTCTGTGATATCCTATAAAACATTAACACATATCCTGCTTCCTGCAAGACCCCTGGGGTTTCCTGATTTAAACCCATGCACCAGCCACATGCTCAGACAAAATCATCAAAGTAACAATGGAAGAAACAAGTGTCATCATGAAAGACAACTAGTAGATATTACTCGGCAGAGAAAAAGAAAAACAAAAACTAAAAGGCAAATAAAACATCAGCCTATAAAATTTTTAATCTTTATCATGAAAAGGGCCTTAGGTAAAACCCATTTTTAGAGCAAAAACCTTTCCACAGTTACTCTGCCCACTAAACTTAATTCAGTTTTATTTTATCTGCACCTCCCTAAAAATACTTCAGTTCTGCAAATTAAAACAATGATTCAAATGTAGCCCCTTGAACAGTGATAACAGACACATTTATCTTGCTCCAATAGCCAATTTTCGGATACCTGCAACCTTATCCTAAGGTTCTGATATAAACAGTATATTAGAAGTCCATTTAGTAACTTTATTTGACAGCTAAACTAGCTCTAAAAAGCCCTGGGCAAAGGCTTCTTTCACAGAGTGTTGTAACATACAAACAACTACGATGTTTAGTCTCAGAATTGGCCTGTAAGCTTTGCCCTCAGTACTGTGTTTATCAGTGAAAATAACATGTAGGCCTGTTTGCAAAAGCACTTAAGATGTGCTCAGAATGAAGTGTCTACTACCATGCTACTTATTAAAATATAATGGAATTATGTGAAAGTCACCTTTTCAAAAATAGTCATTTTACGTTTGACCTTTATCAGTGCATAATAGGGTTTCATTAAGAACATAATTACATGACTTAATCCATGTGCACTCTGCACAATGCTCTTCACAAAACTCAGGAATCTTCCTGACAAAATAAGCTGAAAGAGCCCAGTTTAAATAACAAACAGAAATGTTTAAGGATCTATATTCATGATGCCTTTTTAAATGTTCATAGAATTGAATAATGTATATAACAAATTTAATTTCTGGCAGATTCCTGTCCTCTCTCATGCCTCAGGGAACTGTTTCCATCTCCAACTTGAACTTGGACCTGTATTTCTAGGCCTCAGATGCTGTACTCCTCAGTTCCCGAATGGTCTGTTTCTGCTCAACTTCTGCCTTCCTGTCTTCCACAGCCTTGGAACTGCTTGGCAACTTAGCAGACTTCTACCCAAAGTATACTTTCTCTGCATAGGCACATAGATAAGGATGCAACACACACACCACACACACATGTGCACACACACACACACATGCCCATATATATGCGTATATGATTTGGCTTGATGTCCCAGGTCATTCAACTGGGATCGTTCACATGACTCCAGTGTGACCTTCCAGTCCCAGGTCCCACCACACCTACATTCACCTCAGGCCTCAGAGATACCAAAACTAACTGTTTGTATTAGTCCACTTTCACACTGCCATAAAGAAATACCTAAGACTGGGTAATTTATAAGGGAAAGAGGTTTAATTGACTGACAGTTCCACATGAACGGGGAGGCCTCAGGAAACTTACAATCATGGCAGAAGGTGAAGGGGAAGCAAGGTACGTCATACATGGTGGCAGGAGAGAGAGAGAGTAAAGGAGGAAGTGCCACTTTTAAGCCATCAGATTTCTTGAGGACTCACTATCACAAGAACAGCACAAGGGAAACCGCCCCCATGATCTAATGACCACCTGCTAGGTCCCTCCCTCAACACATGGGGATTACAATTCGAGATAAGATTTGGGTGGGGACACAGAGCAAAACTGTGTCACCGTTGCTTCCATTTCTGCCAGGAATGTTCTTTCCTACCTGTTTTCCCTATAAAACTCACCAAGGACTTTCCAGACACATTTGAATGTCACCTATTTCAACAGGTTTATCCTAACTTTCCTGGGCACATTTAGAACCTCCTCATCTATCCTTCTTATAACTCTCCATGTTTAATTCTTCATTGCTGCTACTGTAGTTGTTTTTCTTTAACATTATCTGCCTTCCTGTTATATTATAAGCTCCTGGACAGCAGAAGTCATGCCTAATTCTCTCTTGTATCACCAGGCATTGCACTGTTTGAAAATGTCATTTGAATTGAAATGCCTACTATATAGGCATTGAACTAAAAGATAATCCTCTCAGTCAGTAGTGAAAAAGAAAGAAATATTTCTGCTTTGAAATCTAAAATGCTTACATAGAACCATTAGTGTGTGAAAGTAGTGTAAGTGCAATGAGAAAAGCAGGAAGAAAACAAGTAAATGGAATTAAGAGTTGGATAAACCATCTAAGTCCTGCAAAGTATGACTTACTTTGGAGAGGCATCTGGGATTTTGCTGATAGATAGGATCCTTTTCCCAGAAAATATCTGCCTGTGCACACGAATACACACACACACACACACACACACACACACACACATCGTTAAAAGTTTTGAAATTCATGGACTCCAGGATGAAAGCTTTTGTGCTACTGTCCTCAGACCATTGATTAAGAACAATGCACCTATGGAAATGGTGTGAGAGGACAGAACTCTGCAACACAACAAGCAAAGAGCAAGCTGTAGGAGAAAGTGAAAGGAAAGCAGCGCCTTGGACCACAATGGCTCAAAGAGCTTTTGTCCCAGTGTTTTTTTTTATTTGTTTGAATTTTATTTTAAGTTGTATCTGGTTTCTAATTACAACTAGCTGTTGAGGCAGTGTGGTTTTGTTGTTATTGCTATTGCTTCCTTATGAGACAAGAAGATTCAACTGATTAAAGGCCTCTCCCTCTTTTACCTCTGAAGGTGAAAGAGCTGAGATCTTGAGGAGCAAGTCATTCTCAGGTGAAATGTCTAAGGTGTAAGGTAAGGAGCAGTACAGAAAGGGCAACGATTGTGAGAGAAAAGAGGTGGGATGTTAAGCTCATTTTCATCACTGAATTCAAATTTGGAGGAGTTTTACAGTCTTTATATTATTTTGATGGAAGGAAGATTGAGTAGAAGCAAGCATACAAGATGGAATATGGAAGAAAAAAAACTTAAGCTAATGAGATACAGAATAATGTTAAAATTATATGAAATGCTTAACATAAGAAACTACTATTTAGGGAAAATATGACATGTTTGCAGTTAGAAATAAAAATATGTTACGTCTGCAGATGACAGGAACCACTGCAAGGAGTAGAATGTTTTGATTCCAGTCACTGTAATTCAGTTAGCCCCAGGGGTTCTTCTTGGCTCCATCTAGTTTGCTAGGACACATAATTTTTCTTTGAGACTGCCAAGAATTCTGCTTGATTTTCATTATTCTAACAACATAAACAATAACAGGACGTTATCATTTATTTAGCACTCCCTCTTTGACAAAGGCTGAGCGGAGAGCTGCCTTCATACGTGATTTCACTTAATCCTCACAATCACTTCATGGGAGAGGTGCCATTATTACCTTAGTTTGCAGATGAAAAAAGCAGACCTTTGAAAAAGTGTTAACTTTCTCGAGGTCAAATAGCTGGTGAATTCAAAGATGAATGGATTCCTTCATTGTCCCAGACACACTGACCTGGAAGGCAGTTACAGACTTTAACTGATGGTTTACCTACTTAAATTGAGACATAGAGTCTGAAATGTAAAGTGATTTTGCTAACACTATGGCAGACAAAGAAAACATAGCCTAGCAATCAAAAGAAATTTCAAAGTAGCTCAGGTTCTATATTTGAGCAATGCTTCTTAAAAATCCCATTTCTCCCCTAGCCCTTCCTTCCCAACCTGTGGCCGCTTTGGTCCTTTCTCACCCGAACTCTCCTAAAAGACTCCTTTCTCAGTCCTAGCCGTCTGCTCCTCTAGCCCTTTCCCTTCTCTTCTCTCATTCAGACTTTTCACCATTCTCTTGATTGTGAATCAAAAAAAGCCAACTCTGCAGGACATCTGTGAGAAGATAGATATATCACCTTGAGACAGAACATCACCTCCTGGCACCAGACACACTGCTTGATAGGCTGAGCACATGCTGATACTCAGGACCACTTCCCCCTTACACCAGGTGTCTTTGGTAAGGATTTTTGGACAGATTTAAGTTGATAACTTTTCCATTGATTAAGAATCTCTAGTGATTTAGTCAGCCTACTTTTCCTGGTGCAGAAAGGGAGACACTCTTATATATGGAGATTTCCTGATAGATGTAAATTTCTCTAACCAAAGGATAACATTTTGGAACTACTCCTTAGTCAGCAATTTCTCAAAATAACTAGCTCAAAATAATCCATATGCCAAAGAGACTTATTTGGGGTGGCATATCAAAACTGGCTCAATTGTCCCATGGAACTAATGTTTATGTTTTTTTTTTAATAAACATAGAAATTGACTCTCCCTGGTTTTAAAACTTGAAACTTAAATTTGTCTTGCTCTATTTCCTTCCTCAGGAAACCAACCCTCCAGCAAAAACTGCAACTCCTCAAATCCAGACAATGAGAAGCCAGGCCCCTCATCCATCTTGATTGCTTTCTTACTTGTTTCTGATTCCTGTTTTCTCTGAACATAGCTATATTCCTTCCGTACCATATAAACCCCAAATTTAGTCAAGTGGGAGAGACAAATTTGAGGTTTGGCTCTCACTTCTTCAGCTGAAGTCCCCCAAATAAAAAGCCTTCTTCCCTGGCAATACTTGTTGCGCTGGTGATTGGCTTTCTGTGGGACAAGCAATGGGACCTAAACTAAACCCCTGGCTTTTTAGTAAAAATATTCTGGTCTCTTACAGTCATATTTTGGGTTAGTGTATTCTGAACCACATCACCAGAAAAAGTGAAGTTTTGACTTAATAACTATGTGGAAAACTAAGAGAAACACATTTGAGGGAATCATAATGGCATTGATTTGGGACATTGGTTGAGCTTTGGGGATGGAAGACTTTATTATTTCTGTGCTAATTAGCTACTCCCACACGTGGATGAAGAACTGAATTACAGTCCTTTATTTCTTCAACTAAAAATTATTGGTGTCTACTCTGGATCAGCTACTTTAATAAGGATCATACAGAGATGAAAAGGAGAGGGCAAAGATCAGCCGTAGTTAAGTTTGACATTAAGAACTCATAGTCTGGGAGTTAATACTATAAGGCAAGGCGGCTGATGTATGCCATAACTAAGGTATACACTGAGTCATAGTATAACAAGGTGTAAGGGAGTATATGTGTGTAAGTGTTGTGAGGGTAGAAAGGGGGAACGACTTTCCATGGATGGAAGGAGTATTTTGTTACTGACATCATTTAAAATTGTACAAGCACAGTGATAATACAAAGCAGGCTGACTTCTAGTCATTTTTATTATAGTTTTTAAATTCTCCACAGACAACGTACCCCTTTGTTACCTGCCCAGGACTGACTGCTCTTCTCCAAACCCCCTTCCATCTCCCATACCCTTGGTAAGACACTGGTATTAAGTGCTCTATGAGCAAAATAAAAGAAGAGATTGATTTTTTTCTGAGAAAGCTACAGATAAAATAACAGGGTCATGGACATTTAAACTGGATTTTGAAAAGAACTGAGTTCACCAAGTTAACTGGAATTAGAATATAATAAAACATTATTCCCTACTTTTGTTTTTGGAATCTACTGTTTTATGTACAGTAGCACTGTTTGTTTATACTTGTAACCAGTATTTCCTCCAGCTACATCAGCTAAAAGGTGTCCCAGTTTTGCTTCAAGATGAGAAGAAAAACCTTGAATGTTACTCAAGTGCAGGTTGGTTTCTCCAAGAAGCTGACTTTGAGGGAGAGCTTAGCACATGGACTGTTTATTAGGGAGCGCCCATGTAGGAGAGGAAAAGGAAAGAATTAGCAGAGGAGGAAGGCAGGCTATCATACAGGACAGGTAAGCAGCCTGTCTTTGTCTGTTTGGGCTGCTATAACAAAATACCTTAGACTGGGTAATTTATAAACAACAAAAAATTATCTCTTACAGTTCTGGAGATTGAGAAGCCCAAAATCAAGGCACCAGCAGATTTGGTATCTGGTAAGGGCTCTCTGCTTCGTGATGCTGTTCATAGATTCTTGCAGTGTCTTCACAAGGTATAAGGCCAAATGAGCTCTCTTGGGCCTCTTTTATAAAGGCACTAATCCCATTTGTAAGAGTGGAGCCCTCATGACCTAAGCACTTTTCAAAGACACCCACCTCTTAATTATTACATTGGGAATTAAATCTCAGCACATGAATTTGAGGGGATATATTCAGACCTTAATATTCTGACCCTGCACCTCCAAGTTCATGTCTTTCTCACATGAAAAATACATTCATTCCAACAGCCCCAAAGTCTTAACTCATTTCAGCATGAACTCAAAAGTCTGAAGTTCAGAATTTCACCTAAATATCAGCTAAATCAAATATAGGTGAGACTCAAGGTACAATTCACCCTGAGGTAAATTTCTCTCCATCAGTGAGCCTGGGAAATCAAACAAATTATGTGCTTCCAAAATACATACATGGTAGGACAGGCATAGAATAGACATTCCCATTTCAAAAGGAAGAAATTAGAAAAAAAGAGAAAAGGTTAATGGGTATCAAGCAAGTCCAAATCTCAATAGGACAAACATTAAATCTTAAGGCTGGAGAATAATGTTCTTTGACTTGATGTTCTATCTTTTGGACACACTAGGGCAGGAATTGGAACCTCAAGGCTCTAGGTGGCCCTGCTCCCATGGCTTTGCTGGGTGTGGCCAATACCACAACTCTCATGGGTTGAGTTTTGTGCATGTATCTCTCCCAGAGTGGAGTTGCACCCAGCTACCTCTACTGAGCTGGATTCTTGAGGGTGAGTCCACTTTCACAGCTCCACTAGGTATTGCCCTAGTAAGGAGTCTCTGCAGCGCCCCTGCCTCCACAGCTTCACTAGTCATTGCCCTAGTGGGGACTTTCTATGGTGACCCCATTCCTGTGTGCAGTTCTCCACCAGGGACCCAAGACTCAACAGGGCATCATTTGAAATCTAAATGGAGGTAGTAATGCTGAACAGCTTGTGCATTCCTCACATTTTTGGAGATGGCATTGAACATATGCAGCTAAGGTTTACCATCTCTGCCCTCTAGAGAGGTGGCCTGAGCTACACTTAAATCAGCTTGAACCACATGGTATGGTTAAGGAGTGCTGTGCCAGAATGAGGGGAGCAGACTTTAGGCAGCACAGGGTGAGCACCAAAGCCCCACAGGCACTGAAGTCTCCTTTTTTGACATAATTCTGTCCCCAAGGCCTTGGCACTCTGGGCCTGTGATGAAAGTGGCAAGCCCAGTGATCTCTGAAATGCATTCAGGGTTATTCTTCCATCATCTTGATAAGTAGCATCTGACTTCCTTCTATCTATACTAATCTCCTTATCAAAGGTTAGGTTGACTACACCCTTGGTATTCTGTCCTGAACATGTTTTTTGTTCTTTACAACATGGCCAGGCACAAGTTCTGCTTCATTTTTATTATAAATTTAATCTTCTCAAATTTTACAATAAGCAGTCAAGAGAAGCCATATTGTACCTCAACAATTTGCTTAGGTAGTTGTTCCACCAAATATCTTCTTTCATCAGTTAGTTCTACTTTCTACAAAGCACTAGGACATGAACACAATTCAACTAAATTCTTTGCCACTTTATAACAAGAATCACCTTTCCTCCAGTTTCTAATAACATATTTCTCATTTCCATCTTAGACCTCATCCAAATGGCTTTTACCATCCATAATTCCACCAACATCCTGCCTGCCATCTTTTAGGTAATCTCTAAAAAGACTGAGGCTTTCTCTACGTCTCCCCTCTTCTTCTGAGCCCTCACCAGAATCCACCTTTATGTTCCATGTATAACAATGCAGGCTTTTTGTAGCATGCAGCTCCAAATTCTTCCAGCCTGTATCCATTACCCTGTTCCCAAGATGCTTCCACATTTTTAGATATTTGTTACATCAGCACCCCACTCTTGATACCCCTTTTCTTCTTAGTCCATGTGGGCTGCTATAACAAAATACCTTAGACTGGGTAATTTATAAACAATAAGAATTTGTTACTCACAGTTCTGGAGGCTGGAAATTTAAAGATCAGGGCACCAGCAAATGTAATGTTTGCTGAGGGTTCTTTGCTGCATAGATAGCACCTTCTTGCTGTGTCCTCATGTAACAGAGGCTAAACAAGTTCTCTGAGGCCCCTTTTATAAGGGCATTAATCCCATTTATGAGGGTGGAGTCCTCATGATCTAATCACCTTCTAAAGGCTCCATCTCTTAATACTATTACATTGGGAATTAAGTTTCAAAATATAAATTTTGAAGGGACAAAAAGATTCAGACTAGCACAGCTTCAGCTGATTCCTTGAGGAGTCCTGGAGTTCAAATGGCCCTTCAGAGTAGTCCCACATTGTGGTGAAATGAGTCTGAGCCTTTATATAGCAGTCAGTCATTGGATGTGGGCTGCCCTAGGAAGGATGTGTCCTTGGGCAAGATGTGAACACCTGGAGCACAATCACTTCCTCAAGGGATGACACCTAAAGACCATCTTCTGAGCACTTCCAATAAGAGCCATTTCATGTCAATCACATATGTCTCCTTGTCTTGGGGAAATTGCTCTGTTCTTTTGGACACTTGTCCAGGTACACAGTGCTGTGCCTGTACTCGAATAATCTGTGCACCACCACCTTGCCAGCCCATGCCAACTCTGCTTCCTTTAGAATCCTCCAGTCAGGCCGGGCGCGGTGGCTCACGCCTGTAATCCCAGCACTTTGGGAGGCCGAGGCGGGCGGATCACGAGGTCAGGAGATCGAGACCATCCCGGCTAAAACGGTGAAACCCCGTCTCTACTAAAAATACAAAAAATTAGCCGGGCGTAGTGGCGGGCGCCTGTAGTCCCAGCTACTTGGGAGGCTGAGGCAGGAGAATGGCGTGAACCCGGGAGGCGGAGCTTGCAGTGAGCCGAGATCCCGCCACTGCACTCCAGCCTGGGCGACAGAGCGAGACTCCGTCTCAAAAAAAAAAAAAAAAAAAAAAAAGAATCCTCCAGTCAGGGAGAGCCCTGCTCTTCATCCAGCATTTTTCATGTTTGTAGGCACCAAGAAGATGCTTATCATGAAGTATTGTTTATCCTGGAGTATATCATAGCTGTCCTGAAGGGCTTAATTCTTTTCACTTTTTGTCCTGCTCACCATTCTAGAGAAAACAGCTATTTCCTCTCATTCATCCATATTCTTGATTTCTTCAACATTTGTTCCCAGTATAAAAGCAAGTTCTCTACCTGAGGACTATTGGTACATACACTAATATGGTCACATTTAGTTTTTGGATATTCATAGTTTTTTTTGTTTTTTGTTTTTTGTTTTTGAGATGGAGTCACGCACTGTTGCCCAGGCTGGAGTGCAGTGGCATGATCTCGGCTCACTGCAACCTCCACCTCCCAGGTTTAAGAGATTCTCCTGCCTCAGCCTCCCGAGTAGCTGGGACTAGAGGCACGCACCACCATGCCCAGCTAATTTTTGTGTTTTTAGTAGAGACAGGGTTTCACCATGTTGGCCAGGCTGGCCTGGAACTCCTGACCCCAGGTGATCCACCCACCTTGTCCTCCCAAAGTGCTGGGATTATAGGCACGAACCACCAGGCCTGGCTTGTAGATCATTTTTTTATTCTCATGGGCACTAACCAAACATCCTTTTGCAACAGGTTTGTCTATAGAGTCTCAAATGATCTGAGCCAAATGGACTATGATGGGAAAGGAGAACCTTGTGTTCATTTGATAGGGTCAGTTATTTTAGGTAGAGAGTTATCCAATCTGGTATCACTCCACCTCCTGGAACTGTTTACCAGAAAAATACTGGATAGGTTAAATTCCACTAGAGACCCTATTAAAAATAAAGTATGTTCTATAAAGCAATTTTAGAGATCCAAATTTAATATGTAGCAACAATCTTCTGGCAAAACCCTGTACTTTAGTAAAATTGTTTCCCTAGGGAAAGCTTTAATGCTATTCATTACCTAGTATATAATTCTATTTATTTTCAGCTTTATCTGAATTAATCTGGAGGGTGTTTCCTTCTACTTTCTCTGTTGGCTTCTCCAATGATACTGGTTGAGAAGAGGGTGTAATGAGGATAATAATCTGTAATGGGAGGCATCTTCAGTTCTGAGTATAGACATTTAGAGATGTCAGACACAAGGGCTCCCAGACTTGAAGACTTTAAAGACCAGAGAATTAAAAAAAAAAAAAAATTAGAACACCATAATAAAGCTGCCAAGTTTTAATTTTTCCAATAAGAATATTAAAATAAAAACTTCTTCCTACTAATATTATCATTTCATAAAATAAAAGACATTAACATAAAACAAATAATTTTGAAAGGCCAATTCTTCAAGGTAAATATCTTTAGCTACAGGAAAACTCACTACATGTCTTTGTGTTTCTGATTTCACTACAGTCCACCTTTCTGCATTCTGCCCTAACCCACTGTTTTTGTTTGTCATTTCTTTCCTAGGCCTTAGCACAGTCCCTCACATGTCATAGGTCACTATGGGAACCACTTATCAAGACAATACAAAAAATTCCTAAGGTGGTAATTCCGTAGTGTTTGCCTCAATTATATCATTTATCTTCCTCTTATCCTGGATAGCCAGTATTCCAAGTATATATATATATATATATATATATATATATATATATATATATATATAAAATAAGCACATATATTAAATATATAAGCACATATATTAAATAGATATCATATATATATATGTGAGTGTGGATAGAGAAGATGTATAGTCTTCCTGGCTATAAAGATGGACCACAGACATTCCCAGCCTGTCACTGGTATGACGCTGATGGTCACTCCAGCTGAAGAAGGAGTATAGGGTCTCACTGCCTCTCCTTGCAGGAGAAAACCGCAGAGAGCAGGGCAGAACACTTCCCCATTTGTGACATCTAGTGGCTCAGCTCCTGCATGACAACTTCTTAGAGAAGGAAAATCTGGCAAAGTCAACCCCAGCTCTGCCTGGATTTTGCCAGCTTCTGAAAAAGCACTAGAGCACACCTAATTCCTTAGAGGAGTGTTCAGTAGTGTTACAATTTAAGAGCCAGGCAGATTAAAATATAAAAATATTTTTCCGTCTGTAGCATATTCCCCTGGATACAGGAAAGACCAAGGGCCAAAGTGCACAAAAGCTCAAAAATAGAGATAATAGTGAATTGAAAATCTAGCTCTCATCATCAGGCTATTTCTCCCTTCACAAAAGGAAGAAAATTAAAGAGCCAGACATCTGCCATAGTAGCATCTTGCTTACTGGTGGGAAACCACATTCAACATGAATATTCAAACTCAATAGCCGGTGTCTTTATGGAGGGTTTATGGGTCTTCCTAAAGAACCACTTAGGAAGAACTGGGAAATCAGCTCAGTCTTAAATAATTTCTGCATCAATATTGGCTACGTGTTTTTTGTTTGTTTGTTTGTTTTTATGCTTCTGCTGAAAGGACACACTTTGTTGTTGTTGTTGTTTTTGAGACAGTGTCTCACTCTGTCACTTCTGCTCACTTGCAACCTCCACCTCCCAAGCTCAAGAGATTCTCTCACTTCAGCCTCTTGAGTAGCTAGAACTAGAGACACACGCCAACATGCACGCCTAATTTTTGTATGTTTTGTAGAGATGGGTTTTCATTATGTTGCCCAGGCTGCCCTTGAACTCCTGAGCTCAGGTGATCCGACCTCCTCAGCCTCCCAAAGTGTTGGGATTACAGGTGTGAGCCACCAAACCAGCCTGGGAGACACTTTGACTTTGCATATATTAACTCACTAAATTTAATCCTCGCAACAACTCTAGAAGATGGGGCTTTTAATTTCCCCATATGAGTAAATGGGAGTGCAAAGGCTGCAGAGATGAAATGTACTTTGCCCTAGTAAGCTAGAAAGTAGCATCATCGGTATCTGATTCCATGTCTCTTTGACATCACGACTGTATTTTTCTCCCATATCACATTTATTTAGAAAATAGTTTTGACTAATTAACCAATATTTTTTGGTTTTCCATCAGTATTTTTCACTTTCCTTCCCCTTCTCCCTTGTAGCAAATATTCTACAGTCATTGCCTCAGGGGAGGGATGTGACAAAACAGAAAACTGAAAAGGCAGTCGAATATTGGGGTTTTGTGGTCTTAAAGTCTAAGAAAGAGAATTCAGAGCATAGATAAAGAGTATAGGAAGAGTGCTAAGAAGTGGGGTTGGGGAAAACTGGATCTAATTATTTTTCATGATTGCAGAGGTAGGGTAAAGATGAGAGAAATACATAGTGGTCTTGGGAAGGGAGACTCAAAGCCTTCGTCCCTGGCAGATCTGTCATGACAACGAAACTCTCCCTGAGAAAATGTTTATACACCACAGCTAGGTGTACAGACGTGTAAACTGCCTGTCTGAGAATCTTGTACCCTGTGATATGCTGGAAGCTGCTAGGGCCATCGGACCTGTAGAGGTGAAGGGGACACAAACAACTGGGTGGGACAAGCGTGAAGGGTTTATAGCTTAACACCGCCTTTGGGGGAAGAAATGGGCAGGTGAACCTAAATTTTTTTTTTTTTTTTTGAGACAGAGTCTCAATCCATGTCCCAAGCTGGAGTGCAGCGGAGCAATCTTGGCTCACTGCAACCTCTGCCTCCTGGGTTCAAGCGATTCTCCTGCCTCAGCCTCCCAAGTAGCTGGGACTACAGGTGCATGCCACCACGCCCAGCTAATTTTTGTATTATTAGTAGAGACAGGGTTTCACCATGTGGCCAGGCTGGTCTTGAACTCCTGACCCAGTGATCCACCCACCTCGGACTCCTAAAGTGCTGAGATTACAGGCATGAGCCACCGTGCCCGGCCTGGTGAACCTAAATTGACCAAGCTTAAGTATCTACACACCCAGAAGAACTGAGGCAAAAATAAATGTTATGTTGAATTACAGAAAAATAAAATTATACTTAATAACCACATTGTATGTGTTTCCTAGGACTGCCATGACAAATAACCACAAACTGGGTGGGTTGAAACAGCAGAAATTTATTCTCTCATGGACTGAAAGCTAGAAGTTTAAAATAAGGTGGTGGCAGAGTCATGCTTTCTCCAAAGACTCTCAGGGAGACTCCCTCGTTGCCTCTTCCTAGCTTCTGGTGGTGGCCAGCAATCCTTAGCATTCCTTGGCTTGAGCGCATCACTCCAATCTCTGCCTCCATCTTCATATGGACTTCTGCGTGAGTCTCTTCATGTCCTCTCCTCTTCTCGTAAGCATTCCAGTCCATGAATTTTGGGTTCATCCTAATTTAATATGACCTTAGCTGGATTACATCAGAAAGAACCTATTTCCAAATAAGGTCATACTCACAGGTGCCAGGGGTGAAGACTTAAACGTATCTTTTTCAGAAACACAAAAGGTATGAATCCCAATCCACAGATTCGGTTTTGTAGTGGTTTGGGGGTGGAAGAGGCGACACTACTCACGGTTGAGAGCACTGGTGCCAGGGGAGCTGGTCCTAGTCAAATGTATAGTGACTGCTGGACCGTGGACAAGGCAATGAGCCCCTAGGGGCCTCTATGTCCTCATCTCTTTTGTGACTGGAATGCTGTGTGATCCTTTCTAGCACGAATATTTACTGATTCTACTGGCCCTGTGTGGAGGAGTAGATGAATCCCCACCCACCCCAACCAAACACAGTGTGATTAAGTAGATATCACAAAAGCCTGCTGGTCTAAAAACACACTACCCTGCCACCTTATCATCCTTTCCTTCTTCCTGTTCTGTTCTTCTTACCATCAGGATTGAAAAGGTATTAAATGATAAATGGACAAATACCTTGTCTCTTAAAGACCACTGTAAGGATAATCTGGATTCTGGATAACATGCAATTATATTGACAAACAGGATTCAGTTATGAAATGCTAAAACTATGGAGAGACCTGGTTTGTAAGAGGTTAATCTGCATGGTTGCCAAGGGAAACTAGGACATGATTCAGTGGAGAAAATGCTAAAGAGGTAACATAATGCTTAGAGTCTGCATGATTTCTTTGTTATAATTGCAAATATATCCTAGAAAGAAAGAAATGACAGAGATGAGCCAAAAATTGAGGAACAAAGGCCAGTCTAAGCTCCCATTATTCATCTCTAGAAGCAAATAGTGAGCTGCTGAATCAGGCTACACCCAAACTGCACTAGAAGGCAACAGAGATGTCTCACTCCAATAAGGGTCCCCTCACAATCTCAAAGACCACTATAGACAAAACTGCAGACAGTTTTCAAAGGCAGAGGCCTGACTGAAATCTGGGCTGCTTTCCAATGCCTAAAAGCTCTATTGGGGCCAGGCGCAGCGGCTCATGCCTGTAATCCCAGCACTTTGGGAGGCCGAGAGGGGCAGATCGCTTGAGGTCAGGAGTTCGAGACCAACCTGGCCAACGTGGCAAAACCCCTTCTCTACTAAAAATACAAAAATTAGCTGGGCATGGTGGCAGGCACCTATAGTCCCAGCTATTCAGGAGGCTGAGGCCAGAGAATTGCTTCAACCCGGGAGGTGGAGGTTGCAGTGAGCCAAGATCACGCCACAGCACTCCAGCCTGGGTGACAGAATGAGACTCCATCAACAACAACAACAACAAAATCTTTATTAGTCAAGGTCATTTAGAGTAACAGGGCCAATTTTAGATAGATAGATAGATAGATAGATAGATAGATAGATAGATAGATAGAGAAGTAGGCTAAGTCCCACAATCTGCCATCTACAACCTGGAGACACAGGGAAGCCAGTGGTATAAATACTAGTTGGAAGGCCTGAGAACCAAGAGCACCAATGGCGTAAATCTCAGCCCAAGGACAGGAGAAGAGCAACGTCTCAGCTCAAGCAGTCAGGCAAAGAGAGAGAATTCGACTTCTCTCTGCCTTTAACTTCTACTCAGGCCCCCAATGGTTTGGATGATGTTCACCTGCACAGCGGAGGGCTATCTGCATTACTCAGTTCACCAATTCAAATGCTAATGTCTTCCAGAACCACTCTTACAAATACATGCAGAAATAATGTTTAACCAGATATCTGGCACCATGAATTGAATGTTTCTGTTCCCTTCAAAGCTCATGTATTAGAAACTTAATCCCTAATGAAATGGTGTTGGGAGGTGGGCCCTAATGGAAAATTTAAAGGGCATAAATTAATGCTACTATAACAGGGGTTTGCAGGAGTGGGCTGTCTCTCTTCTGTCGTTTTGCTGTGTGAGGGACACCATTCTTCCCCTCCAGAGTGTGTAACATTCAAGGCATCATCTTGGAAATAGAAACCAGGACCTTACCAGACGCAAAAGTCTGTTGGCTCTTTGATATTGGACTTCTCAGCCTCTGGAACCATGAGAAATAAATTTCTGTTCTTTGTAAATTAGGCAGTCTCAGGTAATCTGTTACAGCAACACAAAACAGGTATCTGGGCATCCCACGGCCCAGTCAAGTTGACACATAAAATTAAGCATCACTCTCTGTAAGTAAGACATAAGCGCCCACTGGGGAAGAATGATCATGATCATCTCAGAGTGGTAGTCAGAAGCTTTGCATTCTGGAGACAGACAAACTGTCTGGATGCTACACTTACTAGCTGTGTGACTTTTGGCAAGTTATCTTCTCTAAGCCTCAGGTAAAATGAAGATGATTTTTTTTTACCTCATATCTAGAGGAATAGTTGTAAGAATGAAATCAGATGCAGGTCACTTCATAGAGTGCCTGCCACAAGGGAAATATCCACTGCTACTTATTGTTGCAGATGAAGAGCCATCGTGCTCACCATTTCATAAATGAGGAAAATGAAGCTGGAGGAGGTAAGTGGCCTGCTCAAGGTTACCCAGGGTCAGTGGGTCCTAGGCTGTATCTAGGGGTTCTAAAGCAATTTTACAAAAAATAAAAATATCGTTTTCTTTAGACCAAGCTTGTTCAACCTGTGGCCTGCAGGCCATATGCAGCCCAATACAAATTCGTAAACTTTCTTAAAACATAAGATATTTTTGTGATTTTTTTTTTTTAGCTCATCAGCTATCATTAGTGTTAGTGTATTTTATGTATGGCCCAAGACAATTCTTCTTTTTCCATTGTGGCCAAGGGAATCCAAAAGATTGGACACCCCCAATTCAGATCATTCTTTACGAACTCATTAGCTAAAATATACTGTTCTTTTTAATAAGCATTTTAATTTTTTAAGACATTTAATAGACTAGAGGCCATGCTAAATCTAAAGCTTTCAGTTATCTATGAGTGACAAAAGCCTAAAATTTCAGCCTGTAAAACATAAATTGATGATCCATCCAGTCAATAGAGTTTCAGAAATTGCAAATGCTGTTTCATGAAATGGTAACTATGTTCCATAAGACAAGCCTTATAGAATCTATCTTTACCCCACCGCTCTAGCTCTCAACATATCTAAAGCTCTTGGAAATTTTTTTAAAAAATTAATCCTAAATGTTCTAAACATCTAAAACACAGCATAGATGACATGAGTTAATATTTATTATTACTTTGGTCTAGCTTACAAATTTCTGTATCTATGCTGTGCTACAACACAGTGAGATTTCAGGGTTCATAGCCCCTATGCCCTCAAGTGCCCTAACAGAAAAGATTCTGAGGGCTCCAGAATTGTGGACTTGGTCCAGGGCAAAGCAACAGTCAGGTCATCAGCGAGCAAAGTTATGAGACTCTCATGAAGTTGAAAATCTGACCAAAATACAAGGCACTGAAATCTGGTGCATTTAGATGGGAGAGAAGAATCAAGGGTTAATTTCAAGTGTGGGGCAAGGGTCACAAGGGGAAGAAAGATGTCCTTTGCTGAGATGGGGAACTTGCCAAGGAAGTATGGCAGCGGGTCAGGGTAGAGCACAAAAATGTCCAGTTTTAGACCTGTTAAGTTTGGAAATCCTTATAAGTCATCCAAGTGGAGATCTCAAGTAGACCACTAGATAGATCTAAGTTGTGAAGCTTAGAAGTGGAGCCTGGGCTGGAAGTATAAACTTGAAAGTTTCAGCATATTGTGGCAATCATAAGAAGAGGTAAATTTAGGTCATGGATTTGAAAGGGATTACCTACGGAAGGATGGTAAAGTAGGACACAAGAGCACCTAAGACTCCTATTAGAGGGCTGTGGAAGTCCAGCATTAAAGCTGGGTAAAGGAGTGCTAACTCAATATAGGAGACTGAGAAAGAATGGCCACTGAAATAAAAGGAAAACCGAGGGTATATGGCATGAAATCCAAAAAAGAGAGAAAGTGGTCAACTGTGTCAAATGCTACTGAGATAGAGTAGGGTAAGGGCTGAAAGAACACACTGTATTGGCACCATGAAAGTCATTGGTAACCCTATCAAGAACAGCTTAAATGGAATAGTAGAATGGAAATCATAGTAAGTTGAAGAGTAAAGGGGAGTCAGTCCTGGCCATGATAGAGAATCTTGTCCTTGATTAATGAGACACACAAAACATATGCTTTGGGTAATATGTATAAAACAACTGCTTGATACTGGAGAGAAAGCAATACAGGTGCTGTAACCCTTGAGAGAAGCAAAACATACAAAGTGAGCTCCACATTTCCCCTTGCTTTTTCTCTAAAGCGTTTTTTTCCACATTCAAGCATGTGGAAGTTGGGTCCAAGTAGAAAGTATTGCAGGGATGAGGAGACAGATATTGGTGGTCAGGGCCCAGACTTATGCAGCAAATTTCCAGAGACTGAGTCAAACTCAGAAAAGAAGCTCAGATAACGATATATGTATTCCCCACAAGCTATTGGTCAGTACATGAGCTGCCCATGGTCTAGTGAGACTCTACAAAACCCAGAGCAGCTGGGAAGCTAGAAAGCTGTTCACAGATTTCTGCAGCATACAGAATTGAGAAAACAGAGGTTATAGAGGTTAAGCTCCACCAAAGCAGAGAGGCATCAGTAAACATCACAAAATTTTATTAGAGACTCAGATGGGGCAGGCACCAGAAGTGGGAAAAACTCACAAGAACTAACTGCAACACGTAAGATCAAATAAGGCAGAAAACTTTATAGCCTAACCCTAACAGAGCATATAAAATCACATCTTAACAAGATCTACTCGCCAGAAGAAAAAATAACTCTCTTTGGGAGAAATCAATAAGAGCCTCTACAGTTCTTTGTTTTTATTCACAATATCCAAACCTATAAGGCATGCCAATACCTAGGATACATTAGGTTTACTAAAAGCTAAGAGAGAGAGAGAGAGAGAGAGAGAGAAGTGATTTACACATTAGAGGGAAATTTGTTCAAATAGTAGAAAAGATCAAGAATTAAGCTGAAAATTGGAATATAAAAAAATCAAATGGATGCTTTAGAATAGAAAAAATATAATATTTGAAATTAACAAATTTGCCCGTACAAATATTTTATACTGTGCGTATTTTTTTGTTTTACCTAAAAGTACATTTGATAGAGAAATCAAATTTTTTTTTTATCCAGCATCACGTATTCTCACCCTGTGTGCTGGTTTGGCATTAGGAAGGATATTTAGTTAACATCAAGTGGACAATCCTAAAATCACTAGCCCATAAGAGATGTCCCCTTGTATGTTCTCGTCAAATAACTTTTGTAGATATCCAAATGCTTTACAAATTTCAATTGCTTTGCCTTTTAAAAACTACATGCTAGGCCAGGCACGGTGGCTCACGCCTATAATCCCAGCACTTTGGGAGGCCAAGACGAGCAGATTACCCGAGGTCCGGAGTTCGAGACCAGCCTGGCCAACATGGTGAAACCCCCGTCTCTACTAAAAATACAAAAAATTAGCTGGGCTTGGTGCTGGGTGCCTGTAATCCCAGCTACTTGGGAGGCTGAGGCAGGAGAATCACTTGAATCCAGCAGGCAGACATTGCAGTGAGCAGAGATCTCGCCACTGCACTCCAGCCCGGCGGCAGAGGGAGACTCTGTCTCAAACAAACAAACAAAAAACTTACATGCTGAGTAACCACTATGGCAAGGTATTCTGTCATATGTTTCATGGATGTCATCTCATCTAATCCTTACCACAGATCTGTGGAGCAGATGAAAAAAGTTAGCTGACTTGTCTAAGGTGAAACAAGTGATCAGCAATGGTCAAGA
This sequence comes from Homo sapiens, assembly GCF_000001405.40. NCBI lineage: Eukaryota > Metazoa > Chordata > Mammalia > Primates > Hominidae > Homo > Homo sapiens. The sequence continues at coordinate 83,600,170 of NC_000005.10, read as the reverse complement.
ATTAAACCTGTGTCTTTAAAAAAAAGAAAAAGAAAGAAATTAACAAATCATTGGATGGGTTTTACAATGGACTGAACCCAATATAAAACAGGATCAGTAAACCAGAAAACAGAAGAAAAATAATATGCAGAAAAGAAGCATAAAGAGAAACAAAAATAGAAGAAACGACATAAAGTAAGAGATGTGCAAAGCATAATCAAAAGGTATACATCTGCTTAATTGGAGTACAGGAAGGAAAGGGGTGAAAGAATAGGGCAGAAGCAATATTTAAGGAAAAAAATGGCCTATTCTACAACCTTTTCTCTTTATTTCTGAATTGATTATTCTATCCCTCAGTGATAATTTCTGCCTCAAGTGTGATATCTGATAAATATTCTCTTCTATTTTTGAATGCCTGCTGTGTGTATTTAGTAAATGGAAGAGCTGAGCTTGAAGCACAGGTCTTGCTGATGCCGGAGTTTAAGGATTGCTCTTTCTCCTATACCATGCTGTATCCTTCTCACCCTCTGGCCCCCGCTCCAATGTTATATTCTCTCTCAGCTATATTCTTTTCATCTATGCAAATAGAAAGACATCTTTTCAGTTGCCACATTGCTTTCTTTTCTCTCAGGGATCACTGTCCTGTGCTGCCTGATGTTCAATATCTGAAAACCATTTTTTAATATACTTTGTTTTTCTAATTGCTGCTTAAAAGGATAAATCTGGTCTCTATTATTCTATCCTGGTGGGAAAGGTCCAAGTCCTTGTACATAATTTTTGTAACTACAAATGGTTGTTTATACTTTGTAAGGACTTCTTACAAATGGAGTATTTCACATAAAGGCAGTTCGTGTAGAATATTGTGTCCTTTCTCCACGTGTATTCCAGGCCCTTATTACCCTAAGTCAGTATCGTACTATTTTGGGATGCCATGCATAATATAGAAGATATATACATGCAAATTTAGAATGATCTACATACAATTTCCTTGTTCTTCCTTGTTCTTTCCCTAGGACTCATCTTTGTTATCTCAGATCTTGTTGGTTTAAGAAAAATGGTACAACTAGAGCAGATTGCAGAGTAGGTGCTTCTGGGGGACCCAAAGTGCAAGATGTGCCCTGATCCTCTGTGGTGATTTGGGCAATTCTTGCTTATTTGTCACTATACCAGATAGGTTGTTACAAATCTGACTGTTAGAAAAGGGAACATACAACGTAAGTGTCTGCAAGAATTTAACTATCTTAAGAGTCAACACAAGGTTTTTGTTGTAAAAAGAGGGCCCTCCCCTTCCCTCTGAAAATACATTTAAGTGCTAAAATTGGGTCGATGCAAAAATTTATTAAATAGATCTATAATTGGAAATTTGGAATATGTTTTACAACAATAAGAAACATTCTGTACAGAAAATCAGGCTTCTATTACATTGATTTCTAGGCAGAATATTTCAACTTAAATATCCCGGTATTGCCTTTCTATAAGACAAGTTAGATAATTAGATATGAATTCATCTACTAGCACTTAGAATTTCTATTTTCATTTAGAACAAAACAATTTTCTCTATCAGTTAGAATGCTGAAAATGGATGATTTTATTATAGCATAGAAAATGATGTGTTGCTTAGTCCTTTGTGTCATGAAAGGGAAACACATAAAGAACTTTGAAAAAGACTTTTTTGTTTGTAATTGTTCTAATATGTGTTGCCAATTCTGCATTCAGACCTGGTTTGCAGCCAATAAGTTGTGTATGGATAATCTTAATATATTTTTATTTTATTTATAGAAATAAGGCATGAAAAATATAATGATATCCTGGAAGCAAAAAAGAAAGCTAATTTAGACTGAACAACCAGTGCTAATGCAAATTGGTGATATCAACTAGTAAATTTTTTTTATTTTAGCAAAACAAGTTTTAGATGCAAATAGAATATTGAAAGTTATGTTCCACTTTACTGGGTTCACTCTAATGGCCTGGTGTAAGTGTTTAGCTTTTGGGTGCTAACTTGGATTAAAAGCTTTGTTGAAGTACTTTGGCTAATGAGTCAATGAGAAGACTTGACTTGTGAAAATCTTATTTACCAGAAATCTCTGGAAGACCTTGTTATTCATTGGGTAGGAAAGAAAGGGAGTATTTTGACAAATGTAAGGCCTTTGGGAAGTGATTAGGTCACGAGAGTGGAGCTCTCATGAATGGGATTAGTGCCCTTATAAAAGAGACTTCTTCCACCATGTGAGGACACAGGAAAAGGCAACTGGGAAACAGGTCCACACCAGACACTGATTTTGCCTGCACCTTGACCTTGGCCTTTCCAGCCTCTAGAACTATGAGGAATACATTTCTGTTTTTTCTAAGCTACCCAATTAATGATATTATGTTATAGCAGCTCACACAGACTAAGACACTATATTGCAGAAGATGTCCTAAGTACTTAGCATCCAATCACTAATTTGATAACACAATTACCATATAGGATAAGCATTATGGCTTCCTTTTACAGATGAGAAAACTAAAGCACGGAGTAAATAACTTGTCAAATATGACAGGCTATTAAGAGGTGAATCCTGAATTTGACCCAGGGAGTCTGCCTCTAGGGATCAAAGCCCTTAATCATTACACGATGTTGTAGAACTTATAGGAACTGCCAATCTCCCACTTTAATTACACTGGCTTTCTTTTGATTTCTCAAATATGCCATGTTTTTATTTTCTCAGAGCTTTCATACAGGATTGTTTTCTTTCCCTGAAATGTGTACTTCCCCCACCCAACCCAGTCTTTACATTTTGTTTTATTGGTTTCTTCTGGTTCTTCACAGCTCACCTTGGCTTCAATGTCACCTCCTTCGGGTGGCCTTCCCATCCCACCAAAGTAAATACCCTCCCTCCACTGTTATTGTTCCTCACAGTACATTGTTTCTGCCTTCACAACATCTTACAACAATTTATAATATTACATGTCTTTGTGTTTTGTATCCAATGTCTTTCTCTGATAATAAGGACAATGTTTGTTTCATTACTGTATTATTCAGCACCTAGCACAGGTCCAGCACATTGAAGTCAATCAATAAGTATTTATTGAATGAAAGAAATGGAAAATGGAAATCTGGCTTTTAGAACAAACAAGCAATGAGAAATATGGAGAAAGAGTATGGTAAGATACAGTTCTGTAAAAATGGGTCGCCCATTGCTCAAATGTTCAGAAGAATTATGTGTAGGGAGATAATCATGCATTCATTCAACAAATATTATTGAGTGCCTACTAAGGGCCAGGTGTTCTTGTTGTCAATGAAGATGGAAGTTGAACGAGGGGGTTGGAGTTTTAAATAGATGTTCAAGAAAGGTTTTACTGGCTGGGCACGGTGGCTCATGCCTGTAATCCCAGCACTTTGGGAGGCTGAAGCAGGCCAATCAACTGAGGTCAGGAGTTTGAGACCAGTCTGGCCAGCATGGTAAAACCCCGTCTCTACTAAAAATTAAAAAAAAAAAAAAATAGCGGGGCGTGGTGGCACGTGCCTGTAATCCCAGCTACGTGGAAGGCTGAGGCACAATAATCACTTGATCCTAAAAGACAGAGGTTACAGTGAGCCGAAATTGCACCACTGCACTCCAGCCTGGGTGACAGAGTGAGACTCTTTCAAAAAAAAAAAAAGTAAGTCTTTTCTGAGAAAGTGGCATTTTTTTTTAGTAAAGTTCTGTAGGAGGTGACAGAAAAAGCCAGTCACATATCTGAAAGATGACTGATCCAGGCAGACCAAAAAGCAAGTGCAAAACACTAAGTGAGTGGGCCTGGCATGTGCAGGAACAGCAAGAAGACCACTGAGGCCCTAGCAGAGTGAGTACAGGGAGAACAGCAGCAGAAGGAATCAGAGAGGGCTCAAGGAGCGGTGGCACAGGCACCCTACACAAATGGGGTCAATTGTGTCTTTTACTCTGAGATAGATGGGCACCCACTGGAGACATTCAATAATAAGTGACATACTCTGACTTGGGTTTGAATCGGCTCATTCTAGCTGCCCTGATAAAATTAAACCAAAGTGGAGAAAGGATGGACCCAATAGTCTAGTAGGCTATTAGTGCTTAACTCAAGCATAAGATAATGGTGACTTGGACCAGGGTGGTAGCAGTGGCGGTGCTGAAATAGGGAAGGTGATGGACAGAGCAAGCAGGAGGGAGATCAGGAGTTTGGATTTGGGTGTGTTAAGTTGAGATCCCTATTAACATACAAGTGGAGATGTACGGTAGGCTATATTTGGAGCTTGATATAGAGGTCTAGGCCAAGTCATAAACACATTTATGCTGTTTACAACCACAAGACTTGATAATATCAACAAGAGAGAAAGCACAAATAGAAAAGATGGGAGCAACCAGCAAGGAAGATGCCTAAGAAATAGAAGAAAATCCAGGAGAATTTGATCCTGGAAGTCAAGTGAAGAAAATGTTTACATGAGGAGTTTAAATGAAAGAGCAACTGAGTTAAATGCTACCACTGCCAGTGTGTCCACCTTGGCCAGGGGACCTTTAAGAAATCGTATCTTTACCAGTTTTTTTTTCCCTAAATATTGGATGAGGAAAATAATTTATGTTTTTTCAATAATCAACAAGAAGACCTGGGGGGCAGGAAAATCTGTCATTTCTATCTATACTAAACTTATAAATCCTCAAGGTAGCTAGCCTTGGAGATTGTTGCTCCTGAAGAAAACTAAGTATAGTTCTAAAGCCCCACAAGGATTTTAATGGGCAAGGATTTTAATTTTGCTCCCAATGCCCCAAGTTGCAGATAGGTGGCAGAGGAAGTTAGAGCTGCTTCTTCTTAGCACTATGGCATATTTGTACTGGAGAAATGTACACTTCTGGGATCTCTTCCGCAAATCACAGAAATATGTTTATCGATAGGTACTACTCCAACTATACTTTAAAAAATCTTCACTTTTTTCCCGCACTTACACAAGATACATCATCATACACTGCTGCAGGATACAAAGCTTCAGGTGGACAATTCCAGAAACAAAAACTAATAGGAAATTAGATACAATATTTATGTATATGATATAATATACAATGTATTATATAATATATAATAATATGATATATAATATATTAAAATATTTTATATTATAATGATATATAATGTATTAAAATATATTACATTATAATATATAATTATAATATATATAATATATAATATAATATGGTATATAATGTATTATAATATATTATATATCATAATATGTAACATATTATATTATATATGTAACATAATATATTATATATCATAATATATAGCATGATACATAATATCATATAATAATATATATCATAATGTTATATATTATTTATATAGCATATATTTTTACAGTGTATATACATAAACTATTGGGGATATGCATCCTATTGTTCTAATAAGATGTTCCATTTAGAAAAATTTGACTGATAAAATTTTATAAAATAATATCCCATTTGAAACTAAAATCCAATTTAATATTCTTTTAAAAGAATCACCATTTCCACTGAGGTTTGTGTTGGCAACCTTAGAGTATTAATTCAGCAAACAATTAAATATTAATACAAGTGTGGGATAGATTATTTTCTTCCTTTCTTGGATTTAGAACTTTTATTCTGCTTTTTGTCCTGAGAACATGAGGCAAATGTACATGGACCAAATAAATAAAATTAGGCTTATTATCATGTCATAATTAATACCAAATGACAAAAAATAATTTTTGCGGGCTACCTTGAAATGAGCTTTTTTGGACCCAAGTTAATTATCTGTAGTTTCAATTTTAATATTAACCACCAATTCCTGCAGCTGACTTCAATCAGCTTCATTTGTGTTTTAAATAATTAGTGCTTAATAATGTATTATGCATTACACAGACATTCATAGAGGACTGAAGTTTCGATTACCTGTCACTTCAAATTACAAGCTCCCAGTAATTAGCTTCTGCCACATAACCCATAATGGAACAGACCCAAGTTAATAGAAAGTGGGAGGAAAACAATATAGCTAGTTTGGCATGAGTAGATTCCAAAATCAACCAGTTTTGAACTCTTAATCTATTTCTCTACAGGAATTAAAGAATTGTCTGGCTAACAACATTTCTGAGTCTCCCTCACTTGTAATAAAAGAGATAATGGAGACAGTATCTACCTCATAGGGATTATTCAGATGAAATAATCTGCTGAAATAATACTCATCAGATAATATTCAGATGACATAATTCGTAGGGAACCAGATGAAAATGTATAGTTCAGGTGTTAGGATTTCATCAGTGATCTGTTTTAAAATATCTTTAATCCAGTCAAGAATTATTTTGAAAAGCAGAGACAATGAATATATAGTATGTATTTAGAATGAAATCTCAAGTCCTCATGTGACCTATAAGGCCTTATATCAATGGTTTGATTAGCATCAACAAGGGGCCTTTAAAGCAGATTCTGCTAGAGGCAGGGATGGAGCGTCAAGGGGAGTGGGGAGGGGTGGAGGTGCCAGGCATGAGTATACATTATGAGGTTGCCAAGTTCTGCCAGGTTTTGCAAATATTGCCCTACGTGATCACGCCCAGAGCTACATCACCCGTGAACATATTAGAAATGCAAATTGCCAGGCCCTATCATAGACCTACTGAATCCAACATTCTGAGAGCCAAGCACAATAATCGGTGTTTTAATAAGCACCCTATGAGATTTTTATGCCCACGAAAGTGAGAGAACCAGTGTTCCAAGACCTTGTTATTCAAAGTGTGTTTTACCTACCGGCAACATCAGAATCACCTGGGAGCTTGTTAGACTTGCAGAGCCTCAGACCCCATCCCAGACCTCCTGAATAGAAACCTGCATTTTAACAAGATCCCCAGGTGACTAGTAAGTACATTAATGTTTGAGAAGCATTTCTCTAAGGCAGTGGTCCTCCACCTTGGCTGCAAATTGGAAGCACTTAGGGAGCTGTAAGAAACATAGATGCCGGTTGAGCTAAGCGGGTAGCTCCAGGTTCTTACCATTTCAACACAGAGAGCTCTACTTCTATCTGTATTATGTATCTGTGTTCAGAATAAGCTTTCATTGTGAGTAGAAAGGGCTCTTTTACTACTAAATTAAAGTGTCTGAAACACTTTTAGCCTCATTTACCCCTGTCTTCACTAGAACAGCCTTGAAGTGATCATAATGGCTTAAATAACTAATCATCTGACTCTTGATTCCATCTGTGCAGAGGGTCTAACAGCATCCCCAGCTCCCAGAGCAGCCTCTGGTTCTGTCTGGGTGTCTAGACATTCCCACTGATGCCCTGGCATGTTCCCTGAAGCCCTCAGGTACCAGAGCCACACAATTTCCCTTGCCCCTTGCCATGTGACTACGGATCACATTCTGCCCCTCATGTTGTGAAGCATAGCACTGCATAAGTCTTGGTTTCAATCTCTAATAAAAATAGTTCCTTCGGCTTCGGCCTTAAGTGGTAGATATACATAGGATAGACCTCTGTTCTCTCACTTTTCCACTAAGAAAACAAAAAGGAAAAATATTTTTCTTTAGTTTTCAGCTAAACCAAAACCCCCCAAAAAATGTGTTCATAAAAATGATACCTAAGAATGACCTCTTCACAGTCAGACAGCACCAAATCCTAACCACCATCTTAGGTCCAGTTGGGAGCCAGCTACATTATCTGAGAAAACTAAATCTCAGGGGCTGGGTGTCAAAAGTCCCTAAGTTACTGGATGGACATGTTGGGGTCTGATCCTACATTTTCTTTTTTGAGACAGAGTCTCGTTCTCTCACCCAGGCTGGAGTGCAGTGGCACGACCTCAGCTCACTGCAACCTCCACCTCCCAGGTTCAAGCAATTCTCCTGCCTCAGCCTCCCGAGTAGCTGAGATTACAGGTGCCCGCCACCATGCCCAGCTTATTTTTGTATTTTTAGTAGAGGTGGGGTTTCATCACATTGGTCAGGCTGATCTTGAACTCCTGACCTCAAGTGATCCACCTACCTCGGCCTCCCAAAGTGCTGGGATCACAGGTGTGAGCCACCACGCCGGCCTAATCCTACATTTTCTGATTTCAGGCCCATCTGCTTTCTACCACACCTGCTCTGCCTTTGTTGGCTGTGGTCTGACAATCCTGCCTTGCCCCAATCACCCTCCACAGGTCAACTCGGCATCTTTCAGTGGCATTCAGGATATTCAAGGGGGCTTTCCTGTCTATTTCGAGTGTAAGTAACCAGTTCCCAACTCCTAAACAAGGAACTGAGAGACACAAGCAAAGAAAGTTCAGCTAAAACATTGTTTGGCATTGTCTCAGTACATTTTAAATCAACTTACAAGATGGCATAAGACATGACATTGAATGAAATATTTGAGGCAATATTTTCAAATACAGAGTCCCTATTTGGCACAGAATTATTACAAACTTGTTATTACAACTACTTGTTGCTTGAGTGCAAATCTTCCTTCCTGCCTTCAAACATTTTTTTCCAACCTGAACTCACAGGCTATTTCTAGTTTCCAACAAAGCTTGCTTCACTTTGTAATGTCTTTAATACTGAAACAGATAACATATCTTTTCAGTGTGCTAGTATAAGTGTTGGATGTTGTCAGATCGTTTCTGGAGGGTTAAATGTTTCATGTTTCAGGGGCAATTACTAAAACCCAGAAGAGTCTTGTCCTACTGTAATAACAATGTAATAAAGTCTGAAATGAATCTCAGAAATAAAATAATACCTGAAATGTAGTTTGTGCTTAAAAAACATTGTGAATGAATGAAAAAATAAATGAACAAAGGAATGAATTTGTGCTCTTACATTTGTAGCCTAATTCGAAGTACATTCTTAAGGGTAATCAAAACTTAGAACACATTGTCATTTTTTTCTGCTACATTTTCTTTGAAATCAAAAGTTGGGTTGTTTTATTTAATCTCCATTCACTTCAGAAATTCACAGACTTATATGCTTATGTGAATTAGGATATGTCATAGGCATGTCAGTGACTCCTGTGAATGCTAAAATGTAAACTGTATTTGAAAATTCATGCAAGCATTTCTTGATCTCCAGGATCATGCAAAATGGCTGCTTGGAGATTTGTCCACAGCTCGCTGGAAAACAACTTTCGATTCTGTTCCAGACATTCCCACTGATGCCCTGGCATGTTCCCAGCATCACAAAATAACTGGCAAATATTTATTTTGGTAAAATAGGCAACAATAAAAGTCACGATGTGCTGAAATCCAGAATGAAATGACTCTGACGTTCACTCTGACTCCGCAGTCTTAAATAGACACAAATTGTACCTATATTTTTTTCTAAACATTCATTTATGTGAAATTCTAGAAATCCCAACAGGCTGTGTGATTCTTATTTGTTAAACCATTCAGCCACTAATTTAGGTGCCAGACAACCATGGATGGCATATTTCTGGAGCAGAGTGGTGAGAGACAAATGGCTTTACATTTTTCTTTTTCTGTCCTCAGCTTCTGATGCTGCTGGTTGACAGAACTGCTCAACAAATAATGTAATAAGTTATTGACAACATCTGTCTTATGGAGGTAAGGGGTTTCTGTTTTAGTTTCAGTGTGATGTTAGTTGTTTTTTTTTTGTTAGTTTTTTTTTTTTTTTTTTTTTTTTTTTTTTTTTTTTGAGACAGAGTCTTGCTTCCTCACCAGGATGGAGCGTAGTGGCACCATCTCGGCTCGCTGCAACCTCCGCCTCCCAGGTTCAAGTGATTCTCCTGCCTCAGCCTCCGGAGTAGCTGGAACTACAGGTGCGTGCCACCATGCCTAGCTAATTTTTTGTATTTTTAGTACAGACGGGGTTTCACCATGTTAGCCAGGATGGTCTTGATCTCCTGACCTCATCATCTGCCCGCCTCGGCCTCCCAAAGTGCTGGGATTACAGGCGTGAGCCACAGCGCCCGGCCCAGTGTGATGTTATTAATATCATCACATTGACCTTATTTTCTACCGGCTCCCCACTACCCACGGAGTAATAACCAAATGTGTTAATGAGCTCCGGAATCAAACTTTCTAGGTGTACATCCCAGCTCTACCTCCCATCACTAAGCAGCTTTGGGAAGTCAGCATAATCTCTCTGTACCTCTGTTTCCTCATCAGCAAATAGGCATGACAATAAAATCTATGGGAACACTAGAAGAGGTGATTTAGTCCTTCATTTAACAAATATTTATTGAGTGCCTCCTGCATGCCAGGCCCTATTGCAGGTGTTAGGAACATGGTGATGAACAAGACAGAACAGGTTTTGTGCTCACGGAGTTTACTTTCTTGTGAAAAGAAACAGATGGCAAAACACTTAGGAGAGTGACTAGCACCCAATAAATAGTTCCCTCTACATATAGTTATTGAGAACTCTTTGGATCCCTGTGGGTTAAAAATAGTGATCTGAAGCAAACAGTCTCTTGAGTATTTACTTTCCTATTTGTGCTTTTATGTATTTTCCCACAAGTTTACAATGAACAGGTGTTACTCAGCTAATAAATTAACAATAACAACAAAGGAGCAAGGACATAATTTAGCACATATCTAAAGTGTTTTCATGGTGTGTAATGGAGAGAGTTATGATTTAGGTAATATTCAATAAGTAGTAATTGCCTATGCTATTTTCAGCCTAGATGCATATTTTCCAGTTTTAGCACAATGGTCCATTCATTCTCAGTTGTTTCAGCATCTCTCGTCCTTTGGTCTAATCTCTATCCTGAACTTCCTCCTTTGTGGATAAGCAGGGCTGTTATTTTTGTATTTTCAAACCTTCATTTAAATAAAAATAATTCTAAGTTTGTTTCCTTCTTATAAAATCAGAAATTCCCAAGCCCCTCACTAACATTTGTCCTTTTGGTAGCGAGCTTCCAATGTTTCTTGGTGTTCCATGTAACCTATCTACTGTGTTGACGTGAATGCTTTATAGTATTTCTATTTTCCTCAACTCTGTACGCTAAATGTTGCACTTACCATTCTCTTCTTTCCTCCTTTCATAATCAGAGCATCACTGAATCCCAAAGCCTGCTTTTTAATGGTATGTTTTGGCTCAACCTAGATTAGTATAGCCTCTAAAATCCCTGTTTCTTTCCTCAATCTTTTTCCAAAACAATGATATTGTTGTTTTACTCTCATTCTTCTGGAATTACTTTACTAATTTTCTATTCTATTTTTTCCCCATCATTGGAACTAACTTTCTTCTACTTCTTTTGCTGCGTTACTTTTATTTTCTTTGCTTATTATGTTCATTAACAATTTTCCTAATCACTTTTTTGAACGACATATCCTTATCCAAAATGAAATTATCTGTTAATTTACCTCATGTTTAAGGAGAAGATACTCAAAGTTAAAAGTCAAAATATTGCCACATATTAAGCAATGAAGATACTACTTATAAGAAAGCCTGAATAATATAGATATTCCCAAATTTAGTTTTAAGAAGTTGCACTTCCCTTTATCACTAAAACAGCATTCCCCAAAACACACGTTACCTGCCAAAAATTTAAAAATCATATCAGGCCCCTCTCACAAAATATTCTTGGCACATTTTGTTGAGGAACGCTGCCCTACTCCATCAATTGCCCTGCATATCACTCTGACCCCAGCCAGCCTTCGCATACCAGGCATGTGATTCCCAACCATCTTTATCTGGCTTACCAAGACTGCTGCTGATCTATTATTGCTCTACCCTACACAGATGAAGCCATGGTCCATGTCTTAGTTCTGAAAAGCATAGTCAAGACTTAACCAAATTATCCTGAGAATTTAAGGAAATGTAAAGAATTCTAACACAACCAAGCCACACTTAATACAGTGTACTTTATTGGACTACTTCCAGAGTTTATAGGCCTCTGCACAGATCTCTAGGAGAGGTTTCTCTTGATTTCAGCACATCTGCCACCATGTTGCTGGAATCAGCTTTCCTCTTCAACACAGAAAGCCTCTGCCAAGAATTTTTCATGCCCTGGAATCAAGACCCCAGAGAAAACGAACAGAATATGTATTAAAGTTTAATCTAAAAGATACAACACTTTGTATGAGAAGAAAACAACATCTACTTTTTAATGCAGAGCAGCTCAGCTTCTCCTTTTACCAATTCATCCCGAAGTATGAGCTTGGTCTTAAATTTGTGTAACTTGAAGACGTCCCCCGGAATGACTTCTCCAAAAACCAGAGGGAAAAATTCATCTCTGAAAGATAAAGGCATACTTCTATCCAAAGAAACGAAATCTGTTGGCAGGTTTAAAATAGCAATGTCTTCCTCCCTTCTCATCCTACTTTCTCAGTGGGTAACCAAAAAGTTTCAAAGATATTGGGGTTTAGTCTCAGAGAAACTTGTTATGCACCTATATAACTTCACTCCTACTCTTTTTTTTTCCTCCTAAGTATAAAACAAGCATTGAAAGCTGACCTTGATTGTGAACTCAAGTTGAGGAGTAATACATTTTGTTTTGGAAATTTAAGCCAGAAAACACAAAGTTCAGACCAAGAAGTCTGTAGTGTGGCCATGTTTATGCATAGCCGAGGCAGAAAAATGGCTGGCAGTTGCAACAATCACATGCTTTGTGTTTAATGGTTACAAGAAAGGAATTAAGGCTATAACCTCATATAAGTACACAATAAGATGCCATAGAAGCAACCCAAGGGAACCAGTGTGCAAGCTTCCAGACTGCAATGTAGCATGCCTATCCTATGAATGAAATGAATGGGGTTACTTCCATAATTTCCCCTGAAGAAATGCATCAAATAACACTGTCAGCCAAGAATCCAACAGGAAACAGATGACACAATCAAATAAAATTAGTCAAAGAGTGTTTAATAAAGGGATTTACAAAAGCGAGAAGCTTAAGGAAATCACAGTTCATAATACAGTATCTATGGAGCCAAAAACAGTGGAGAGCTCTTGCTAGACCGGTCCTGAAAGGTCTTATGAGGAGCTGTGGAACCAGGAGGCAAAGAGGGCTCTGTGGAGACTGCTGCCCAGGAGGATCTAATAACTTTATTATAGAGTACCACCAGCCCATGGCAATCCCACAGGATTGGGAGGAGCCAAGTGGCTACACACTGATATAGAGTTATCCTCTCTGGTTCTGATTTCCTGCAATGCTCTCTATGGCTGAACCCAATAGGAGCAATCTATACAGTCAGTATCTCAGAGCACAGAGCAGAAGGGTGTAGAGTGTACCTGGAAAGACACACCTATGTCTTACTCAGTCAAATAGCAGTTTTAATCTTCCATTTTTGCCTCCCATACAATTGCTACAAAGAGAGTCTGACATTTGATCAGAGACTTAACAGGAAACCAAACTGATCTAATTAAATAAAAACATTAGAACTTAAATTTGATAGTTGTTCCACTTACGATTTCTAAATCAAGACCTGAAATCAAATAGTTTGGTTTTTTTTTTTTCACAGCATTTTGCAGAATATTAGATTGGACAAGTAGGTAAGGTCTCTGCATATGAAATTAGATTCTATTTTGTAGGCATTAAGTTCTGAAGAATTCTGTGCTGGGGAATGCCAAGCTCTGATTTGCACATTTTAAAGAATACTCTGCAGTAGTTTGAAAGGTAATTTGGAAAGCAGTGTGTCTAGAGATAGTAAAGCTATTTAAGATATTGGATAGAGAGAAGAGAATGGATATGAGAAGGCTTTGGAGGTAGAATTATAGAATTTGGCAATTGATTGAATATGGGCATTAAATTAGAAGCCAGAATGACTCTTAGACTACTAGTTATAAAAAAAATGGTTGGGGGAGAGAGAGAGATAATAGTTCAACTTGAAAGATAAAGCTCTTTATGTGCCTATAGAATCCAACCAACTGGACATGGAAGTAATCCTGTAGGGATTTAAGCCAGTTATGAATGGAATCAGGCAAAGATGGAGAGTGGAAAAAAAAGAGATGGTCAAGAGCAGAGGCTTTTGCATTTTGAGAAATCAGACTGCTCCTACTTTAATGCCATTGCTAATCTTTCTCATCAGACTGTAAGCTCCCTAAAAACAGAAACTCAGCTAATCTTGTTTATAACAGTATCCCCAGCACCTAACAGAGTGCCCTGGAACCTGATAAGTGCTCAATATGTATTATTATATGAAAAATGGGTTTAATCTGGCTAATGAACATAGGAGAGGGTGAGATGTTCTGGGAACTGAAGCAATGTAGAGATCAATCCACTCCAAAGGATTCTCCCACCTAGGCCTCTTTTAGGGCTCATCATTGAATTTGAGGTTCCTTTTCCTGGTTTGCTCTTGAAGAGAAATTACAATATATCTTCTTTGCTTTTATTTCTGTTTTTAAATTTCTCTTAATTCCTACACTTAAAACTTTGTATCAGGTCTTTAAGAAATTAATATTTTTAATCATGCTGCTTTATTCGTTTTTTCCTGTAAAGAAAACCTTTCTCATTTTTTTCTTTAAAACCAGAGGCCCATTAAAAGGTTGGAAAGTAATCACCACCAGACTGGTAGAACACATGCTCACAAATATGGACAGATGATGTACTAAAAATCAGAAAGCACTTTAAGGACTCTGTATCTTAAAGCAGCTTTCTCCAAACCAGGGGAAAACTTAATGTACTCCTAGGGTAGTATGCCTACTGTGTGAGTGCCCTAAGACTTTCCAAGGGATACATAAAAGTGAAGCCATTTCCAGAACTTTAATTTCCACCTAGAGGCTTTTCTAAAACTCATCTGCCTAGGGAGGTGTCTGTGGTGGAGGCTCCTGCTTCTGCTTTTGCATCCCCCTTTATGCCAGTTCTCATACACCTTAGAATGCATGAGAAGCACCGGAGTGCCTGCGAAAACCCATACTGCTGTCCCCACTCCCATAATCTCTCATTCAGTAGGGTAAGGTCTGAGGATTTGCATTTTTCACAAGTTCCTGGGTGAAACTAATGCTGTTGTTCCAAGGAACAAAGTTTGAGGACCAATACTTCAGACAATTGCTCCTTTTCTACTTTATTTAAAAAAAAAAAACAACCACTAAATGAAACATCTCTTATCCATTCTGAGTCTTAGGATACATTGCCATGGAATGCAAGAATTAGGACAAGTAAGAGACAATTCACACTGAATAATTCTGATGCCAGTGTGACAAATCCTTTTTCAAACCAAGTGTTTATTTAAAAAAAAAATTAAGGAGGACTTGACATGTCAGCTGAGAGGTAATTTGAAAATAACTTTTGATAGATCACTGTGATTTTTGGCATATAACAGAAATTGCTTTAAAAATTGAGTAGCAGTGCACAATAAAACTATCATTTTCATCTACTTATGTAAACAGATTTTCTCGGTATTTACATCTATCAAACAAAATGAGAGTGAAATGTGCTAAGCCATGCCACATTCTAGTTTTAAGGAATATTTCCCTACGGAAATGTGAATTGGGAAAAACAGCCCTAATCATCTCATTAAGACATATTTCCAACAAAATTTTTACAATTTGTATAATCTTTCACATGTTACGATAGCTTTATATTGTTTTGATCAATTGTATATTAGTAAACTACAAAAATAACTTGGTCCAGGAAAATTTTAGTTTATAGGATTATGTTCACAAGGAAAAAAGAATTTAAACTTTAAAGTACAAATTTTGATGTACTTAAGTTTGATGGCTTAATCAATAGAAGACTTCTAAGCATATAACTATATAATTTTTGATAACATTCCGTAAGAGGAACTTAAATTTTAGAATTAGTCCAACGAAAACAAAAATATAAAATTTTTGACTCTTAATAAAAGACTACTTTTAAAAGAATGATGTAAGAGGTCAAACCACTATGATATTTAGATTCCACTGAATATATCCTGAAAGTGATATTACATGCTTATTTTAGAATGACAATATTTAAAATAGGTCAAAAATTACATCCTCTATAGTTGTATAACTTTATGATGAAAAAAAATTTTGTTGACAACTTAAAATGTGAGAGGTACATAGTTTTTAAAATTTTTAAATAAATACTATCAAAAATAATTTAAGACTTACTGCCTAAGGCAGTAAACTTTTAATCTTCAACAGGGATCATTTGATGGACTCAGACAGAACTCTGAATTAAATTCCAATTAAAACCCAGGCTTTGCTTATTCTGTAAACACCTCAACAAAACCATTCTTGTTCTATTTTGGCATTTGCTCTTTCTTGTCCAGCTGGGATCTAAACATACAGAAATGAGTAATAATGGGAAAAGATTATACAATCTTGAATGACTCACTCAAGGACCTTTATAAATGTTCTGTTTAGACTTGTTTCAGAAAAGAATCATTTGGATGAATTCTGATTTGTTTAGAGAAAATGCAAGTTGCAATACAGTAAAAAGAAAGATGCACCAATATCAGTGCTAACATATCACTGCCAACCTTTTTTTTTTCAGAAACAATTTCACTGCATTTCTAATATTAAGAAACATAAAAGGAAACACTTTACAAATGTTGTATTCATCACTGAGTCTTTAGCCACTTGATAATAACATCTTTTTCCCTTATCTAGAATATATTCTCTCATAGATCCTTTTCATGGGAAATAGTCATGCACAAAATTAACCCGGAACTTTTTTACAACTACTTTATTTTTTTCTGTTTATTTGCAAACTCTGTGAGTTTATTGTACATGATATATGATTTCCGGGCAAATAGCTTGTGGCTAATTCAGTTCCTACTCTTGGTACTTTATTGAAAATTTACTTAAGATCAGCAAAGGTCTACTTACCATCACATTAAAATGATGCACCTCTCCCTATACAATCTCTCTTACCTCTTTAGTAATACAGCTACCCTGGAAGACCACCTCTTCTTAAATAGCCCCCAACGCAGGGGCACATTCTTCCCTCTGATATGCCACTTAACCTTTAAAAATGGACAAAGAACCACTTCTTGCTGCCTTTGACTAGTGTAAGTCTTTTTTAATGTCTCACTCTGTCCCAGTATTCTGTTCATCCCACAGATTCTGTTATTTGTACCTAGATCCACCAATAATCTCAGAAGGCTATATATGCACAATTATTATAAATTCTTATATATTCCCTTGGATCATATTTAAATTCTATGTAAAAGATATGACAGAGTGCACACTAAAAGGACAAGCTCAGAAAGGAAAATAATCTCTTCTCTTCCACACTTATTCATGCCAAACTCCCTGTATATTTTTGACATTTCTAGAAAGAACCTTAAAATAATTTTCAGCTCACCTTTGACCTTTATATCTTTGATATAACTTTGGAGCATAAAATGTATTGGTTCTTCCAGATTATCAATAAAGATACTGAATAGAATGGGTTCTATGATAATTTCCATGGGATGCAGCCAGTATAAAAACTTTATGTGGGCAGAAACCTGTCTACCGCATCCACTGGTGAATCTTCAGAGCCTATTACGGTGCCTGGCACACATTAAATCCTTAAATAATGAATGAATGAAAACTGAAGGAACGGATGGATATCTGAATGGGTGATAACCTCTTAAATGCATAACAATCAGGGATATAATATTTTACATTTTTCTTGGAAATTCTGTGTGGGCTGTAGGGATTACCTGCTTCTGCTACACACTAACTGCATGATTTTGGACAAATAACGAGCCCTCTATGCCCGATCCCTTATCAGTCAGTAATGATGACCCCTGTTTCATAAGCTTGTTATGATATATTACATGTAAAATACTTGCCTTGGTTCATAGGAAGATTTCTGTGATGTGAGCTATCACTTTTCCCATTGCATAGTTTCCATATTTGAAATTAATACATAGTATTCAGATGAAAACATTATCAGAATTATTATCGCAACTTTTACGGGTAAATATATAATCATTTCTTTGCTTGCCACAAAATCATTTCATCCAGGTTAGAAGCTTGCTCTCCATGATGGAACCAGAATGTAAAAATGTTGGTGCACATAAGGATTTAAAGTTGTAAATAACCAGACCAGTCACAGTGTAGTAAAAGAAGGATTTTAGGTTTCTTTGGTGAAACAAAAGCAGATATAAAAAGTTACAAAGATTTTAGATTTTCATTCACAAAAAAAGTCATTCACATTTTACACTATACACGTTATGATATAAATACAGGAAAGTATTATGTGCATTGTAAAGAGAAAGGAAAAATAGAAACCTACTAGATCAACACAGTGTTGTTCTGTGCTCTAAAATACCTAAAGGTGGATTACATTTAATGCAACAACCAAGGGAACCTGCTTAAACATACTGTGTATTATTGTAGCTAGAGTCATTCCTTCTAAGCCAAAGGAGGTTTTATAAAAAAAGAATCAATATTGGGCCAATCCCTTTGTGCCCTTTTTCTCTTTTTCTATGTGCATTTTATTTTTTGTCTACTCTTCTTCAAGTTGCTCTAAACTGAAATTAGGGAAGGAGTCTTACTTTCCATTACAGGTTTTTCTTTAAACATTAAATTAAGTGGATAAGGATTCAAAGTCATCTTCAGCAGTCACTTTATTCAAATAATGGGGAGAAAACAGAGTGGGAAGAGATGGGGAGAAATGTCAACACATACACTCCACCTAACAGGAAGAAATGCCCACACTATTTCTATATATTCGCTCATTTCTTAGAATGGGCAAACACCTTTTGCTAAAAGCTATATACTTTTCCACTCTTTTCATAATAAACACTTGATGCATTCTATCCGTCACATTATTTAATCAGGGACAAAGTACCTATATTATATGATTCCAAATTGTGTGAGGAAAGTAAAAGGCTAACACTGAAAAATAACTAGCATACTATGTTCATTTTCAGGTCTTAGGGAAAATAACATCCAATAAATTAAATCAGTATGGCTTACTTCATTTATTTATGTATGCTTCACAGCTGCAGCATTCATACATGAACATTCAAAACTTTATAAAAGATTAAAATGGTTATATATACAAAATTTCTTTTTTTTTTTTTTTTTTTTTTTTTGCATGTGTTTTAACAATCCCCCACCCTCCAGAGCCCTAGGTCTATATCCGTATGAAATGCATTGATCGGTAACCTTATGAGTTAGTGTTATGAAAGCCATTAAAAAGTAGACCTGGTTGAGTTAATTATTAGCACTTTGACCCCTAAAAAATGTTCCTGGTTACAGAAAAGTCCTCCATTCAGGCCTTTCTTGTAAGTGAAGAAAAAGGAATGCAGCAAAGAAGAGTTCGACATTGGAGTCCTTAGTTCCATCAGGATCCCATTCGCAGCCTTTAGCATCATGTAGAAGCAAACTGCACCTATGGCTGAGATAGGTGCAATGACCTACAAGATTTTGTGTTTTCTAGCTGTCCAGGAAAAGCCATCTTCAGTCTTGCTGACAGTCAAAGAGCAAGTGAAACCATTTCCAGCCTAAACTACATAAAAGCAGCCGAACCAATGATTAAAGACCTCTAAGGCTCCATAATCATCATTAAATATGCCCAAACTCATTGTGACTTTTTATTTTATATACAGGATTAAAATCAACATTAAATCATCTTATTTACATGGCCATCGGTGCTGAAATTGAGCATTTTAAATAGTACAGTAGGCTGGTATACATTAGGAAATGGACTGCACTGGAGGCAAATAGAAAACTAAAGAAATTAGATAGGCTGGAAATGCTTACTTTCTGCTCTCATTTTCTTTCATTTTGTCTGCTGTCTTTTTGAATGCCAATACTTTCATTTAAAATGTTTTGGGAGCACGGCAACCCAAAATGACTGAACGGTGGTCCAAAAATCCAAACCAACTGATAATTACTTCTCGAGGTGATAGGAAAGGCACAGGAAGTTAGGACTTTGGCTGAAATGATGAAAACACATGTTCGCCATTTTAGGGATCAGCGCCTCGACTCCTGCCACCTCCGGCTCCAACGATGATCATGTTTGGATGTATTTATTGAATTGTCCTTTGCTGATGAGGAATTTTTAAAGTATTTCATAGAATAAGTCCTTTGGTATGCAGATGCTACATGGAAGGAAAGAAAGAAAAAAAGAAAACACACAATATTACTTGCTCCATACCCTAAACTGCCGATACCACAGCCGTAAAATGAAGGTGTCTAGTAGTTGTTATAGCACGGTAGTCCATTCTTTCTAAAGGACCACTTACGGTTCATGCAGGTAATTTTAGGTATAGCCCATCTTCCATTTCCTAAGCACCGGATAGTTGGAAGGTGACGTTGAATGAAACCATCTTTGCAGTGGTATCTAATCAGGGAGTTGATTTCATAACGAGGTTTCATCTTTCCAAAGGTCTTGGCATTTTCTACAACAGGGGGCTGGCCGCAAGCGACTAAAGGAAAGCAAATTGGGTTATTTCCAAATAATCTAAGTATTTCAACTAATATGAGTCTCTTATTTTTCTCTCTTTCTTTATGGTACCAAAGTAAGCAACTTCATCAAAGGCAATCTTTTAGAATTAAGAATATGAAATTTTTCAAAAAGAAAATGTAATGTTGAGGCTCTGGGCCTACTTTGAATCTCAGATTATGCCATCTTGAAATTTGTTTTATTAAAACAACCATAGGACTAAATGGTCATACATTCATCTACCCCTCTGGAAGGGCCACTATTCTGACAAAATTTCCAAATTAAAAAGCATACTGTCTTCATCACCGTCCCTAAGTTTTTATTTCTTAATTACCTTCACTTGGGACAATAATGAATTTAACTATTACTATTACCTCCTTATAAAAACGTACAATCTACAGGCCAGGCACAGTGGCTTATGCCTGTAATCCCAGCACTTTGGGAGGCCAAGCGGGGTGGATCACGAGATCAAGAGATTAAGACCATCCTGGCCAACATGGTGAAACCCTGTTTCTACTAAAAATACAAAAAATTAGCCAGGCATGGTGGTGGGCACCTGTAGTCCCAGCTACTCGGGAGGCTTAGGCAGGAGAATCACTTGAACCTGGGAGGCGGAGGTTGCAGTGAGCCGAGATTGCACCACTGCACTCCAGCCTCGTGACAGAGCAAGACTGTGTCTCAAAAACAAAACAAAACAAAACAAAACAAACAAACAAACAAACAAACAAAAAACCTTACAATCTACAATAACATCATAGTTTTGAAATATGGACAAAGTCTCCTAAATACAAATATCTTTTGGTTCCATTTATATTTATTTGCTCTTTTTTGTCTTCTGTATTGAGACAAGAAAAAGAGACCATAATATTCATGCCTGAGTTTCATAAATACCTTAATGAATATAAATTAAAACTCCTGAGACAGGCAAATGAGGGTAAAGCTTGGAATTCTTAACCATCATTTTAAATTTACAATGAAAAATTTTGTAATTTTGAATTTTAAAAAAATCCAAAAGCTTGGAAAATTGATTTAATTGAATTTGTGTTAACATAGTTTTATTCAACATTAGCACACTTATTTTAAATGATATGCTTTAAAAAAATGAACTTTGATTAAATTATTATATTTACCTATATATCTTTAATACAAATGTAACTTAAATATAATTTTCCCTAAGTGGAAATTTCTATTGCTTAAGAATTCTTACACCACAGGCCCACAAAAACATGCCACATTCTCTCATGAAATATTGCAAATATTCAGTGGGAAAATGATTACCAGAAACCTTGGTACCAAATATTTGAATGTCAACATCCTAATATTAAAAGTTTACAATTATTAAATTTATTACATATTCAGAGGACTGTTTACAACCATATCCTTCTGCAATGACAAATTTTGGTTTAATTTAAATGTTTGGTTCTTCTAATTTACTTCTGCTTGACCTCAATCTGGATACCTGCACACTTTTTTTTTTAACTTTTAAGTTCAGGGGTAAATGTGTAGGCTTGTTATATAGCTAAACTCATGTCACAGGGGTTTGTTTTACAGATTATTTTGTCACCCAGGTACTAAGCCTAATACCCAACAGTTATTTTTCTAATCTTCTCCCTCCTCCCATCCTCCACCCTCAAGTAGGCCCCAGTGTCTGTTTTTCCCCTCTTTGTGTCCTTATGTTCTCAGTGTTTAGCTCTCACTTATAAGTGAAAATACGCAGTATTTGGTTTTCTGTTCCTGTGTTAGTTTGCTAAGGATGATGACCTCCAGCTCCATCCATGTTCCTGCAAGGGACATGATCTCATTCCTTTTTATGGCTGCATCGTATTCCATGGTGCACACTTCTTTTATTGCAATATGGAAAGCCTATACTAGGGTCCAGACAATAGCAAGTATCAGATGGAATAAGACCAAAGTGATAGGGAAGGTTAAAAATGATCAATTCAATAATTCAATGTACTTGATTTGGTGCTATGCTAACAAATTTGAACTCATTTTTATAATTTTGAGGAAATAATTGTATAGATTTCTTCTAAAACTAAATATGAAGACTTATTAAAAAGCTATAATAATTCAGTGAGTGTGGTATTGGCAAGGACAGGAAAATAGACCAGAAAGAGATTTACACACATATGCTTGATATTTGAAAGAGGCAACATGGCAGAGCAGAGGGAAAGTGTAGTCTTTTCATTTGAACACTTGTGTATTCATACAGAAATAATAAACTTGGTTCCATACTTCAGAAAAGACATTAAAAATCAATTCTAGATGGTTGAAATATATAAATATAAGAGGCAAAACTATAAAACATTTAGAAACTATAGAATATCTTTATGACTTCAGGATAGTGTCAACCAAAATTAAGGCTGTTGAGGCAGAAATAATTTGATAAAGGCTTATTGGAAGCCAAATGCCAGGATCTACCTGGGAAGACACACCACAAATTTGGGCATATTCCAGAATCTGCTACAAGTTGGAAGGTTTTTATGGGGAAGTTCAGAAGGGAGGGCAACTCCTCAGACCCGAGTTGTGATTTTCATTGGAGGGTACAATACAGAGGTTATAATCATTGGCTACGATTTACAAAATACAAGCTAAAATGCTCTATGTGCAAAACAATCAGTAAAACTTCAGGATTCAGAAACAAATCAGTGTTTTTCCACTGTCAGTAGGCTACATATTAATCAGTATGTCAACAGTTTAAGGAATTCATGATAAGATTTGAGGAACTCACGATAAAATTGTTTACTCAGGGACAGGATGTAAGCCATGAATCATAAGACCTCCCCCAGGCGGATTAATTTGGAAGCCTGCCAATGTGACCTGTAGGTTATCAGTAGGTAAAGATTTCTTAAAACACAAAAAAGATTAGATCATAAAGGAAAAAAAATAAATAAAATTAAGGATTCTGTTCATCAGAAAATATCATAAGGTAAGGGTGAAGTCAAGCAACAAACTGGGAGAAGATATTTGCAACATATAAAATTGTCAAGGGATTAGTAACCAGAATATAAAAAGAACTCCTACAAATTAGTATGTATAAGATTATAAGTAAACAATTTTCAAAAATAACCAAAAGATATGAACAGAAACTTTACAAAAGCAGAGCTTCAAGTGATTGATAAATATATGAAAAGATATTCAGAGAGACGTATCAAAAAATGTGAATTAAGTCACAAGAGATTACATTTTATACCCACCAGATTGGCAAAAATTTCAAAGTCCAATAGTGCCAAATGTTGGAGAAGATGTAGAGCAACAGGATCTATCACAGATTGTTGGTGGGAGTGAAAATTGGTACCACCACTTTGGAAAAAAATTTGGCTTTTTAAAGTAGATTTTATGGTACATATATCCTATGACTCAGCAACTTCACTCCTGGAAATATATCCTACAGAAACTCACAAAAGTTGACCAAGAACAAGTTCAAGAATGCTCATAGAAACATTGTTTATAAAAGCAAAAACACCGAATATGACTCAAGCGTCCACTGACAGGAGAATTGATAAGTAAAATGTTGTATAGTTATACAAGAAATACAATACAGAAACAAAAACAAAGAACATGCCATTACATGCATCAACATGAATAAATCTCACAAACATAATGCTGAACAAAAAAAAGAGCAAAGCACAGAATATATACAGTATGATCCCACTTATTTAAAGTTCAAAAATGTACAACACTAAATAATTTATTGTTTAGTGAAACAAGTGTATATCATAATAGAAAAGGGAAAAGCAAGGGAATTAAGTCATTATCTCTGGTGGGAGTTGAGAAGTAAATAGATAGGATTGAGAGGAACCCACAGGATACTCCACAGATACATGGGCAGTATGCATTGAGGTGTTCTTTTAAAAAATATGCCTTTTGTATATATTATAAATCGTTACAAGTATGTAATAGTTAATTAAAAGGAAAACTACTTAGGTCTGTAGGTTTAAAATATCTAAAAAGAGAAAAGGGTATCTTTTTTAAAAGCCTATAAACATTTAAAAACTTCCCCAGAGTTCTGATTAGTAAAGAATTGACTGCACAAATATAAAAATCAGCGAGTAGGGGAGATAAAATGCAAAAATAGGGTTTTTTTCCTTCTTCTTCTTTAATGAGGTAGAACCAGTATTTTATAAAACTTGTTATCCATTGGGAAATGTAAACAATCATGGTGTTTTTGTGAATCTTTTTTGGTATAGGGCAGTGGTTCTCAACGTGGGACAGTTTGCCTCTTCTGGAGACATATGGCAATGTCTAGAGACATGTTTGCTTTTTACAATGCAGAAAGGATGTAAAGGTGCTACTGACATGTAGTATACAAAGGGCAGGGATTATGCTAAACATGCTTTAATGCACAGGATAGCCTCTCAAAATAAAGAATTATCTGACCAAAAATGTCAATAGCTCTGCTGTTGAGAAACCCTGCTATAGGAGAAAATAAAATAGGAAATGTAAGAATGTTTAAATCATAAAATGAAAAGTATGACTCCAGGGACCATTGGAGACATAAGAGGGCAAACATGACATTTGGATAGAGACGAATAATTTAGTAAAGATTCCTACACCGGAAAAAGAAAAATAGAAAATACTTGATTTGCTAGTTTTACAAATCTCATCGCAGAGGTGCTGAAGTAAGGGACATGGTCAGGAAAGCTTCTCATGTAGAAAAGGTATTGAGAATACATTCTACCTTGGGTGAGAAAACAGCAGACTAACGTACTTATTGCTAACAGCTGACTTTCATATGAGACTCGGGCTTGATGTATGTTAGTGTTCTCTTTCTTCTAATAGAATTTCTCATTATTGGGGTTTAAATCTTTCCTAAAATATTTATAGAGTATGGTTTTTAGTTTTATTATTTTTGTATTCAAAGACAAATTAATCAAATAGGTTTATATTTTACATGTGTACTTCGTACTCTTATTTGAGATGGGTAAAAGTCTGGGTCTAGGGATTAAATATTCATGTGATAACACCATTATTAATTGCAAATAGGTTAAAATATTTTACAGAATTTCTATTTGTTTAGGGAAAAAGTCTGTACAGCGTGCTTTAGAAATTGGCCAATGATAAACACACCTTTTAAAAAATTCGCTTTTAAAATATTTCTTGTTTAATGTTAACTAAACAATTCTCATAAAATTTATATTACACATGTTCTTATTTTATTATATCTTGTAAATATTCAACTACAGATATAAGGATGGCATTTGTGATCCATAGTTTATAAGCATAAAATAAACTTCTAAGGGAATGGTTAAAAAGCTCAAATGCCTACAGAGACCAGGCAGTTGGCAAAAACCGGTGACAATTATAATCCCAAAAGACATAATCTCAAAAGTCATAATCCCAAATTTTGAAATTCCTAAAGACCAAAATCCCTAGAGGTTAAAATCCCTAACATCTAAAGTCCCCAAAATCATAATTCTGAAATATTAAAATCCCAAATGTTGAAATCCTGAAAGCCAAATTCTAGGGAAGGGATTAGTGCATTTTTGGTTGTATGCAGGATAGTTATATCATGTCAGGAGAAATTATTATATTACCTTGTTATTGTCTTTATTTGGAAATTTAAATACGGTTTAAAAACATGCATATGGGTGCCAAGTTGCAAGGGGTAGACCTGTAGACTTAATTTTAGGTGTCAACATGACTGGATTAAGGAATACCTAGAAACCTAATAGAGCATTATTTGGGGCACGTCTCAGAGTGTTTCTAGAGAAGATTAATGTGTCAGCGTGAGTGGATGAGGTGGGGAAGATCTGCCCTCATTGTTGATGGGCACCATCCAATCAGCCAGGGGCCCAGAGAGAACAGATACAGAAGGCAAGCTGGTCTTTCTCTGAGAGCTGGGACAGACTTCTGCCACCATGGACATCAGAACTCCAGGCTCACTAGCCTTTGGATTCCAGGACTTACACACCAGAGGCCCCCCAGGTCTTGAGGCTTTCGGTCTCAGACTGAGAGTTACAGTACTGGCTTCAGCTTCCTTGGTTCTCAATATAAAAATATTGAAACTTCCTCAATAAATGAAGAGATGTTCTTTTATACATCTCCATTTATGAAAGATAAAATTTCTCAAGATCTCAGCTCTTTGAGTGACTGAATATGCGGTGGTAACCCATCTCAGTTCTTCATCAATCTTGTGAAAAGATTTATGTTGTTCATCATGGTATTTCAGATGACCACCGTTATAAAGCTGGTGCACACAATTACAACCAGAGTGATGTGCATTCATACATTTTGGTTTTTCCCCAACTGCCATTAGTATACCTGAGTGCTTATGCTTGAAAATATATGTATGTTTTTATTGTCTATTTATTTTATTGTCTAAAGTGGCTTATGAAGCACGCTGTCATGTTTTTATATGTTTCTCTAATAAATCATCATTTTAAAATGTAAATAAATGTCTTTAAAATTTGTTTTTTTCCAGAATTCTATTTTTGGGATTTTAATCCTTTGAGATTTCAACATTTAGGATTATGGCATTTGGGATTGTGTCTTTCAGGATTGGGACACGGACTCACATAAAACAAAGGAAGGACTCAATGAGGACTGCAATAAATGGAGATTGCAGCCCCAACCAAGGGAGGGCAGTGGTTCTCAGCTCTAGTACTTCAAACCACCGACAAATCTGAATATGGGCCACATGGTACCAGGTCTTCTTATTTCTTAAAAAAGCTGAAAATCCAGATTTAAAAAATATAGCCTAATTTTTAACTGTTGACAACTATTTTATTTTGTAATGTTCTCATCAAAATAAAAAAAGAAGTCGGTCAGGAGCGGTGGCTCAAGCCTGTAATCCCAGCACTTTGGGAGGCTGAGGCTGGCAGATTACAAGGTCAAGAGATTGAGACCATCCTGGCTAACACGGTGAAACCCCATCTCTACTAAAAATACAAAAATTAGCTGGGTGTGATGGTGCACGCCTGTAGTCCCAGCTACTTGGGAGGCTGAGGCAGGAGAATTGCTTGAACCCAGAGGCGGAGGTTGCCGTGAGCCAAGATCACACCACTGTAGTCCAGCCTGGTGACAGAGCGAGACTCCATCTCAAAAAACAATAATAATAATAAATAAATAAATAAATAAATAAATAAATAAATAAATAAAAATAAAAAGGTCTATTGGCCTTTGGACTGGCAGTTGTTCTTCTTAAAGATATTACCAGGCAGCATTCCTACGTTAATGTCACATTGTTATCTTAAGGACCTGAAATCTAAGGTGAGAACATTGTTGAAAACAAACTTTTCAATTGTTTTGGAAGAGTGAAATATTCCAGAGCAACGAGAGATGACATACATGGACATATCCAGTTTGTGTCTCAAACAATGAATTTGAGACACAAATTCCTGAATTATCTTTATAATTGAAATGAAGATTAAGTACACATTATTAACAGGGTGATCATTACCTGTTCCTTTCTTGCACGTATAGGTGAGATGGTAATTGCAGGGAACATCATTCCACTGGCCATTCTCATGCCAAATGATTACAACACAGTCTTCTCCAGCAGAAAAGAAGCTGTCTGGCTGGTTGGGTCTCCAATTCTCGTATTGCTGTAAAAATGGAGGGAGAAGGTAACTACTTGCTAGTCAAAAAGTAACGTAAGAGCAACGACGGTATTATATCACAATCTAATTGGAATAGACTCAACAATTTCTGTTGTTTCATATAGCTGAAATTATTTTGGTGGTACAGAAAAAGACTGTTAAACTGTGAGTAGAAAATATATGTGTCTCAAAGTCTTTATTGAACGAATGTCTACTATTTGGCAATGAGATATCATGGACAAATTTTGGCCTAGTTATTCTAGATTTCTAAATATATCATCAACCTTCAATTTAGGAATTTCATCATATTATTAATTCAATAAAATTAATGGAAGTAGAACTAGAGAAAAAATAATCTCATCACTCTAATCATTGTTTTCTTCTACCTCTTATGTGCACATATAAATTTATATAATTGTGATGATACCTCAATCGAATTTTCAGCCTGTCTTGTCTTATCTGTACTACTATAAAGTAACTTTGTCTCATTTATTGTAATTGCTTTTCACCCAAATTCATCTATTTGGTTAAAAAAGTTGAGATAGTTGCAATATTTATCTTTTGTATTTATCTGACATACCTATGCTAATCATTTTATATACAACCTTTCAAAGCTAGTTTGTTTTAGATGTGATTCTTATTTGCACCATACAGTTGAGTTGTGCTTTATGATTTAATATGAAATGTTTTCTTTTTAGTAGAAACATTTATGACATTTATGCATATTGATATAAAAAATACACCTTCAAAAGTATATCTTATTACAGATTTTTTTTGTGTGTAATGTATGTTGAGATCATTGAAAAGGACTTTATGGGTTTGACATTTCTCTGCTGGTTACCTTTATATATACACGTATATATATATATCCTACTCTGAGCAATAATATACAATTGAAAATATCTTTTGCCTTCCATCATATGTGTCATTTATTTAGCATCTATAATAGATGAAGCCCTTTTCTAGGTACTTGATATGCATTGTCTCTTACAACAATGCAGCATAATAGGGAATTATTTGGACCTTAGAGATGTTATGCACCCAGAACTCTCCGGTTTAGGTTCATTTCTTTGTTACTTAAAATATTGCCTTCCTGGCAACAATAATTATGTAAAAAACATAGTCGCTGTGCCTATTCAAGAATAACAAACTTTGATAAGATGAAAATAATATTGGCCTATAAATAAGAGACCAGTTTCCTAGTCTTGAGTCCTCTTAACTAGAATGTGGTATGAGACAAGTTTGTTTGTTCAGCGCCTTTCTGGGTCAATTTGAGCATCACTTTCCCACCATGCTTTGGCTACTCTCATGCTTTATCATGTCTAGTATGACAACATTAGTGGTGACAAACTTCCAAAATATGCTAGAAATACAGATTTAGATTTATGTGACAATGGCTAATATGACTGTCTTTTCTGGGCCTACAGATCTGTTAGTCTTTCCTTGAATTAAGTTTAAAATAAGTTTATGGTTTGAGACAATGAGTTAAGTGAATTTATTTGGCAAAGAGAAAGAGAATAAAGTGTATATAAGATTTAAGGCAATTGTTTTCAATTCAGAGCATCAGTGAATGCAAAAATTAAAAAAAAAAAAAAAGGGAAGGTCCAATTACTCTACTACCTACTTACTCCCAACAGTACTATCACTATTTTTAAGTCTTTTAAAATATATGTCTGATCCATTTTACTGTATTTACCAAAGTACTATACTTAGCTATCTGCAGTGTTTTCAATACCAAATGTTTCTTCTGTGTTTTATATCTCTAATACTTGGCACAATAAAAAACTTAAAAGGTATTCTCCTACCTATGAAATTGGATTTGTATACCAATAAGCTCTAGTTTACAAACAAAAAGAGTATAATTAATATACTAGAGGATGTCTGTAATTTTTCTTCTCAGAAAAAGTGGTTTTCAAAACTTTTAAATATGGTAAAAAAAATTTAGATCTTTCATAAAATAATTTGTGAAAAGATCTAAAGTTTGAAAACCTACTTTTGTTTCAGTCTTTTAGCTTTACTTTAAAGTCCTCCTCAATCCTGCCAAAATTAAGATATGAGACAAGAGATCACTGCTATGTAAAAAAGACTGTTTGAAGAGTGATAAACTTGCAAAAAACCAAGAGACCCTTAAGGAAGTTGTTTTTTTGTCAAAATACAGCATGAAGGGTGGTTTTATTTCTCGGGGGAAAAACCTAATCCAGAAGTGAGGCAAATTTAAATCCAACTCGTAGCCTAAATGGCCCCACTGTGTTACTCTCCAAATGGCCTGGAAAAGATGCTCAAGGGACCACACTCACTGAAGTACTCCTTGACTGGTAGGTCTCCCTGCAACCAGGAACTCACATTGGCTCTGCACTGGGTTTCTAATTATTTCCCTTTTTTTTTCTTTGCTCATTTCCCTTATCATCCCTCACCCTCCACTCGCCAAGCCTCCTTTTTACATTTTTGATACTCTCCTTTAATAGATAATCAACATTTCAGAGATATGTCATGTTCTGCCTGTTGCTGATACAGAACTAAGTTGTTTGTAATGAATGAGTTAAAGTAGGATAAAAATTAAAAACCAAAGAATAAGAATCCATTAAAACTAACAAAAATCTATATTTGGTACTCTCTATGGTCAAAGATTCCAGAGTTCGCCAAATATTAAATTTGGATTTAGGAGCTCAATATTTTCTAGCTTACTTTCCAACTAGTCTCTTACAGGAAACCAGTAATGTCCTCAAAGGTGGAAAATTTTCCAACATCCTAATACTATGTGTACACTGTGCATTACTCTCTCATTTTTTGTCCCTACCTACACTGTCCCATCTCCCTTTCTTAATTTCTTTTTCTTCATAACATTTATCATATTCTACCATCCTACATAATTTACTCATTAATTGCATTTTTTTCTCCTAGTAGAATGTAAATTCATTGAGGACAGGGCTTTGGTTTCTTTTGCTCATTACTGTATCCTCAGTGCCAGAAACTATGTTTGGCACATACTTATGTTGTTTAATAAATAGTTTTTGATATTTAGAGACAATGAACCACAGAGGGTGTTTCATTCTTCCCAACCCACACCAATACCTAATCAAAGATCCTGCTTGCTGCTAGCAAATAGGTGAGACAGACAATTACAGACATAGCCAGTGGAAGTAAATAACCTTTCTGGAAAACAGGTGGCAATGCATATCAGGAGCCTCAAAAAGTTCTTGCTTTTGGACCCCAAAATTCCACTTCTAAAATTCTATACTAAAAAATAATCACAGATGTGAATGACATTTTATATGAAATACTACGTTTATTAGCAGTAAAGGGAAAACAATTTATAGAGTAAACATATGTTCAATAAATTATGATATAGCCAGACAAATAGAATATTATATCACCATTTAAAATTTTCTTTGAAGAATAAATAAAGAAATGGGGGGTAGTAAAACAAGTGTTAAATTATTACATTATAATGATCCAAATTTTACTCATACTCTCAGATACAGCTGGGTGTATGGATGTATGTGTGTGTGTTTGTGTTTGCGTGTGTGTCTGTGTATATAAAAGACCAAAAGCAAATGCAATAAAATCTTCCAGAGTTTATGTCTGAGTGATATGAGACTGAGATAATATTTTATTCTATATATTCTTACTTATGATATTTTCCAAGTTCTCTAGAGTGAGCATTATTTTTCTAATTGCTAAAAATGAACTTTATAAAATGATATGTGCATTTCTCACAAAAAATACAAATTTCTTAACTAACCCTTTTTAAATCTAATCTTAACAAATATCACCGCAAGTTACTAAAGTCACTTGACTGCCCTATATTTTGCAGCTGACACTTCCTCCTGATCTGAACAATAACCATCTCATTTTCACACTGAAATGAGATTCGGACTCCATGCCACTAAAGTGATTCTCGGGGCTCAAACTGCCCAGATTCAGGCCTCTGTTAAAAGATTTAATTGTTTTGGGTGAGAATTACATTTGGCTTGCAGCAATGACTTAAAATGAGTGTTCCTGTTGTTGCTTGGCAGAGCTGTAGTTTAATGGTGCAGTACCAAATTTTAGCTCTGTGGTTTTTACAAGAATGTCTGATACCCACAGGCATGTCACACTATTACCTCATATCTGATCATTCCATTGTGCAGATTTATCTTGGCTAGGATGCTTTGATTTTGCTTCATGTTATTGCCAAACTGACTTAGCAAAGAAAACTCCAGTTTTCTTAACAACTTCCTTTGTGTCTTTCTGAATTCTTTACAGCCTTATTTAACATTACTTGTAGGGAGAAAATATAAAAAAAAAATTAACTTTAGCTTCAATAACGTACTTTTCTTTTCACTAAAGTTAAATGTTAAGAAGAAATCCCTTCTCAGGGAATCAATTCTAAGTTATAAGAAGGTAATAGATCTTCTTGCACAATATGGTGTCTCATATATACAGGAATACAGATTCTTGGAATTAGCAGGGAAAAACTCAGTACCTCCCATTTGGATTTCTTTATTTTTCACTTTGAATTATGAGCAAACATCCTGAGCGATCTATCTTGGATCAACCCTCTTCTAGAGCTGAATGTGCAAACTAAGAATTATTCCCAGAAGCCAGCATGGGTTGGGGAAATTCATTTTAACCCCTTAGGGAAAAATAAATGCTGGTCATTCCCCTGCATGTTTGTCTGTGCCTCAGGGACTCAAGTTCATGCAACACACCTCAAACGCTTGTTGCCTCCCCAGGGACAAGAATTAGATCACTACTACACCTGAAAGAGAACCCTAAAATTACTTTGCATTTTCACTCTCTTCTGATGGCAGAGGAAATTGTGACATAAAAATCAAAGAGTTGCCGGGTGCAGTGTCTCATGCCTGTTATCCCAGCACTTTGGGAGGCTGAGGCGGGTGGATCACGAGGTCAGGAGTTCGAGACCAGCCTGGCCAACATAGTGAAACCCCGTCTCTACTAAAAATACAAAAAATTAGCCGGACGTAGTGGCAGCCACCTGTAATCCCAGCTACTCGGGAGGCTGAGGCAGGAAAATCACTTGAACCTGGGAGGTGGAGGTTGCAGTGAGCCAAGATCGCACCATTGCACTCCAGCCTAGGGGGTCAGGTGAGACTCCGTCTCAAAACAAACAAACAAACAAAAACGCAAATAGTTGATGTAGAGGAAAGCCAACTCAGATGTAAATTTTTCTTGCATT
Source organism: Homo sapiens (assembly GCF_000001405.40). Classification (NCBI taxonomy): domain Eukaryota; kingdom Metazoa; phylum Chordata; class Mammalia; order Primates; family Hominidae; genus Homo; species Homo sapiens. The sequence goes on along the minus strand of NC_000005.10, from coordinate 83,567,242 downwards.
TTATTAAGAGATAATTATTTTATATCTAGTATATAACTGCTTAATGCTGGATAATATATGATAAAATTGCTTTATTTTTAGAGTCCAATTAAATAACTAGTTCTCCAGGTCTGTAATAACATGCCAAAAAGGGCTACCATTTCGATTAAGCTGGAATCAGTCACTTTTCAGTTATTGTTTTTCTTTCTTTTTCCCCTAATTGAATTCAAGCAAATCAGCTGCCAAAATAATAAAATGATTCAAAAAACCCTGGACAAAATCTAACAGCTAATAAGTATGTTTCTCTTCACAAACTAGAGAACTCATTGTGAACCATTCCTAACAGGGTGAAAACTCAGAGCAGACTGAAGCTATTCATTGAAGTCTATCGAACTCTAAATGTTTCGATTATTTTGTTCCAAATAATCTGTACTTGTCAAAAATTTATTTCTGTCTCACAATAACACAAAAGAGAAGACTCATCCTGCAGGTCTTCTGCAGTGCACATGACTTCTGTGCATGCCAGCATCCTTAACCCTCAGAGAGTGACCTCAATTCCATGTATCTCAGAGTGATTTGACTATTTTTCTCACTCAGAATGGTTGGAGAGCTATTTCTCTCCTTCCCAGTTCTTTGCAAAGTCTCCAACTTAATTCAGTCAACATACCAGGAAAAAAAAAGATGATGGTGGGTGGGGAGAGGTCTCTGCTTTTGAAAGTTACCAACAATCTACCAAATTCAGATGGGGTTTACACTGTTCAAGGTGAATTTCTGATTACATAGTGTCTAGGAAATCCCAACTGTCATTCAGAGATATCTTTTATCATTTAAAACACACACCAGGTGGCCATGATCAATGACCTAAAATCTCAGCAGATAACTAGCATCACAAGCATGAACAAAACAAACTGATGATAAAAATGTAATGTACACTAATAGCCCTTTTCCTTATGCAGTGATGGATAACTGCCTTTTTGCAAAGGTTAAAAAAGCAGTTTTTCAGGGCCAGGTGTGGTGGCTCACGACTACAATCCCAGCATTTTGGGAGGCTGAGGCAGTTGGATCACCTGAGGTCGGGAGTTCAAGACCAGCCTGGCCAACATGGTGATGAAATCCTGTCTCTACTAAAAATAAAAAAAATTGGCCAGGCATGGTGGCAGGCACCTGTAATTCCTCGGAAGGCTGAGGCAGGAGAATCACTTAACCCGGGAGGCGGAGGTTGCAGTGAGCAAAGATCACGCCATTGCACTCCAGCCTGGGCAACAAGAGTGAGACACCGTCTCAAAAAAAAAAGAAAAAAAAAAGCAGTTTTTCAGAAATAGATAAGACTTAGAAATAAACCAGGAGGTTTTTTTTTCCTTGTGTTAAAAAATGAGTTTTCTTGGGTTCATCTTTAGTACTACTTTCAGTTGAAGAAAGGAAACCAGACCATCCAGTATCAGTTACTGCTGTCACAGTCAAGTCCCAGCTGATCCCTGCACATCACATACAGAAGCAAATTCATCTATGAGCAAAAGACTAAGAAGTTTTAAGAGCAATCGTTCTTATCAAAACCTAATCAATAACTAGGGTTTCTTTATAATACTCAACCCATTTCAAGTCATTTTCACTGAGATTCTCTAACTTGGTCAAATAACTACAAAGAATAATCAATGAGCACTGGTTCTCTAGAAGAGTCAGACACTGTTTAGAATCTTTCTATTTCTTTTCCTCTCTACTGGCTTCTAAATCATACAATATAAATAAAAAGAGACAGAATTTTCATAGACACTAGACAAAATTCAAGTTCATATTTTTGTGAGTCATAAATTTGAGACTCTGTCTCTCTCTCACACATACACACACACACACACACACACACACACACACACACCCTTACACATACAATACTTCTTGGCATTAAAGAAGTGCCTAAGACCTAAGACTTGGTAATGCTTCCATTCATACACATCTGTGTAGCAGATAATTTCCTGCCATAAATACAGTAGAGAACAAACAAAATGGTCAGCAGAGTAGACAGCAACCTACTTCTTGTGATGGGAAAACTGAGCTGTCCAATACACAGACTTGAGAGCTCACTGAGAGTTTTTACACACTAGCCAGTCATTGGGTACAGTTCAAATTTGTGCCTGAGCAAAAAGTACAAATGTTTTCATACTGCAGACCTTCAGGATCTCATGTATAACTGGGGCGGCAAATCTTGAATCTGTAACTGCCAAGGGCCTACTTTCCAACTCTCTCTCTCTATCTATCCATATATTATCTATAATTTTTCAGCTTAGGTGCAGTCACCTTTTGTTTTTTAAAATTCGCCATAGTTTAGATTACCTTAAATGGCCAATTAAAGATGATGTTTTATAGATTTTATGAATTTTGCCAAGCACATCCCTTTGAGAAAAACCATTCTTGACATGTGTGTAGTCAAGCCATTCACAATACATTATTTTAATTGTTGGGAGAACTTACTGAACTTCAAACTATAATTTGGGAGTTTTTCTCTTGAACGGTTCAGTCACTGCTCTTCACTTACTCTGTTTTCCTCCAAACATTGCTAATTTAGTTCACAGTGAAAAAAAAAAAAACATCTAAAAAACCCTGCAAAAGCCCTCTCTGTTCACCTCCCAAGGAAACTAGCCAAAGAAAACTTTCTCCAGCGTTCTACTATTGTGTATAAAGTGAAAACACAGGACAGATAGGTCCTAATATTTGCCTTAGTTGCTAGGATTTTACTAAGTATTTGACTACATGTGTTAGCTTCATGCTGCATTTGAAAAATCCTCTCATTTCACATTTAACTTTCAGGATCACAGTATCATGCAATTTATACTAGAATTAAGAAACTATTCAAAACTACAGGAACTTGATTTACAGATAGTATTATTCTTGTGTGTATCTGGGTGTAGTTCTGTGAATGTGGTTTTGAAACACAAAATACAATACGACCACTAGGTGGTGATATATATCCATTCTTACATTATGAATTAACGGCTACACCACTTAACAAAAGAGAACTTGGAATATGTCCCCCAAAATCGTAATTATGTACTCCATGTGGCAAAAATAAAAAAATAAAAATAAAAAATAAAAGATTGTCTGGGATATGTTCTCTCAGTTTTGTGAGTGAAAACACAAAGAGAACACTTTGCAAGAAGACAGACCTCGGTGAACCAGTATTTACCAACCTGACTGCATTCTATTCTGTTGCAAGCCATTCTATCCATAATCTGAATTTTCTTTCTGTCTAAAATGTTCACCTACGGTAGTTTCTTCTTTTCCACTCTGTCTTTTAAAATTATCCGATGATTTACATCAATGGTGAAATTGCATCAGAACCAAAGCCAAATGTGCAACATCCACCTAAAATCCTTAGGAGAGGTCAGATCATAGATAAACACCTAAGCACACAAATGCAATGTCTGCAGCGTGAGTCACAGTTAGTTTGTTTTTCCGTAAAAATTTATCTAGATTAGCTATGAAAACATGACACCTGCAGTAAGAGCTGACTTCTTTGTGCGCAAACTCTTTTCATCACCTGGGGCCCATATTGCCACTGCTGTACTCCCAGAGCTACAAAATTCAATCCAAACGCACTGGATACCAAGGGCAAGCAGATAACCACCGAAGTAGGAAAGCAAATTCCAAACAGAAAACACTTTCCCAAGAGGACAGGTACCTGTTTGAAACATATGCCGATAAGAAACCATCTTTTCACTAAATAACAAACAGAATAACCACTTGGGGTTAGCCTCAGCCTTTCAGAACACAGGTCAAATGGTTATCTGAAAAGAGGCTATGAGGACTACTTATTACAGAAATCAAAACATTTGGTACCTTTAAAATGACTTTTTTATCCCTAGATGGCTGGTGTACACAATAGGCATTTGTTTGCAGTCTGGAGGGGGAGTGGTGCATTTAACTTTGTCTTGTTTGTTAGGGGCAAATGACTTCCCTGCAAGGTAAAGATAAACCTTCTTCTGATCCTTGTACTTGCTTAAGGTTAGTCTAGTCTGGGTCCTTCTTTATTTATGTTTTAAGGGAGGTTATGGTTTTGCTGCTGTCTTTTAGTTGAACAGGGTAATTCGTTGACCGACAACTGAAAAGAAAAGAGCAGCTTTGTTTTAAAGGAGAAAGAGACGTTTGTTTTGGTGTCACTACCCTATGCTGGCAGCCTGGAGTTGGATCCTACAAACATGAATATGCTGAAGGGAAGAAAAACTAACTTGGGGTCTCCTGATAGTTGTTAAAGTGGCAATATGCCCATTATTTTCCTAGCTGGCAAACCTCTGTGCGGGAAAGACAATCTGGCCAGCTCTTGAGAACAGCACTAATCTTGTGTAATAGTGTGAGCTCACTGCCCTACAAAGCAGCAATTATCAACAGCATTTTCAGAAGGATGTGAGTTACTCGCACTGTGAGACCACTGTGAGAGAGGGGGCCTCAGGCAGAGGCCCAGAGAGCAACTTGCATTTAATCCATAGAATGAATGGTGCCAGTAGGCTCCTTTACCCCAAGCTTATTTGCACAGGTCTCCAGTCATGAAGGGCTGACGATCCAAATGTAAGGAGAGACTGCCAAAGCTCATTCAATATATTTTTTTTTTTTGGCCTTTTCCATGGTTATGCATTGCCTTAAACTAATTAGCAATTAGATTTAAATATCTGCATGAGATTTTAAAGTTGCACAGAAGACTGTTGGAAAAGCATCTGTGAGATGCTACTGCACTAAATCTCCTTTTCTTATTCTTTATAATAATCTTGTCAATTATAAAATGATTTTCCAGTAGTGAGTAAATATGGTTCTTCCAGCTGTTCAACCCACCACTAGCTATCTGAACTGAAAGACAAGGCAGAGAGCAGAGTTGCGTTCTAGAACTACTCTATGACTCATAATATCTCACATTTAGAATCAGAAGAATCAGTTCTTGATTCCAAATCAAATTAAACTACAACACAAGTCAAAATTTTCATTAAGAACTCAGTAGTCTTTCACAGAAGGGAATCTGAGAATTCTTCCACTCATGAGTAATGTGTTAAAGAATGAGAAAAGAGCATGTTTTCCTTGGCTTTTGGATTAATACAATAAAGCCTGTGAAGTTTAACATAATTAAATTAATGTTGATATGCAGTGTGACTTGTTCACAGAGAAATGGTATTTGACTTAGAGCTAATGCCACATCACAGCTGACATACATCCATCTGCAAATGTTGTATAGAAAGTCTTCTAAGATCTTCAGGTAGGAAAAGGAAAACTTAAATTTTTGTTGTGGGGATTGTGTTTTGCATTGTTTTTCTGTCAAATCATGTGAAATCCTTTCAAATGAGCAGAAATCTACAACAAGCTTAGAAAGCACTGGAATTAATGAATACTCCGTATTCTCTTTTCAATGTCCAAGACATCTGGGAGAGGAAGGGGAATAAGAACCTTTGTGTTTATGAAAGGGTAATAATGATACATTGCTGCAGAAAAACAATAATGGTTTATGGTCCGTGATTTGTTACTCCATTTTTTCTGCCCCTTTTAAGTGTCTCTTCCTGGGTAAGGGCTATTTCTTTATTGTTTCTACCTTTTTCAAAGCTGGCTTTTCTCACAATACTTTGCTTGACAGACTGATGTGTTTATTTATGAAAGAAGAAGAAGGAGCCTCTGGATTTAAAGTCAAATCCACACATCTGGACATTCTTGTGCATCAACTCGAATCAACTGGTGAAGGGGGACAAGTGGGTGTTGGAAATTGTAGGTATTAAGTTGCCAAAGCTGAACTATGCTTACCAAAATGAAAAACAAAATGCAAAATTGAGTTATCTTCCAGAAATATTTTTAAGAAGAATTTAAGTAATGAAGGTTAATTGTACAATTAATTGTACTAATTGTCCTATCAATTAGTTTTTTTTTTAGTTTATATCACAACTATCATAGCAAGATGAGTTGGTTAGAGCTAGAAAATAAGATATTTATGAATCTGTGATTTAGTAACTTGTTCTAGAACTTCCTGACCAGATTTGGACAAATGTAGAAGAGAGAAAGTCTCTCTGTTTTCTCCCAACTGTAGAATGGAAAGTGAGAAGAAGGAAGCTGTGATAATTTCCCAGGAAGCAGGGAAGCCAGCAGCCTCACGGGGTGTGACATTTGAGTCCTGACAATGTAGAGATGACAGAAGTAAAAAAAGTGAAGGAGATGCAGAAAATGTTTTTTAAAATGTTTAGGAATAAAGTCAGGGCTTTTTCTGCAGAACAAACTAAATATTCCAAAAACTCCCCAATATTTTAAAAATGGAATGGCAATGTCAGTTTTATTCAGTCCTCGGCCTCTATACATGGCCATCTAAAGTGATGGTTCCCTTTGAAGTAAATGCGTCTGATCCACTGAAGACACCAGTGTCCAGTGGGGAAGGGTCAGCTTTGATGGTGCTGGGGGGAATCATTGAAGAAAGGAACAATGTGGAGCCCAGAGAATCGCCTCGTGAGAATCTTACTCCAGAGGGTCCAAGAGAGAAGGAAGCAATATGACAGCTTTAAATCTCTGAGCTCCACAATTTGATTTTAAACCACTTGTTGGAGAGGTTTGTCAGACAGAACAGTATGATGAAAGCATGTAAGAGTTTCTGATAGCTCCTTAATTGGGCTGTCCCATAGACACTATAGTCTTTAGTTGAAAACAGTGTTGTGAAAATCATTTTGCCAGGAGGTATACTGACAGATAAATATAAATGATTCCATAACGTTCCCTGCCTGTCTGGCTTCCTCTGCACTTGAATAAACAGCCTCAGATAGTGGATTTACAAATGAAGCCCTATCCCACCTTATGCAACCAAATCACCCTTAGCCAAAGCATCTATAAAAAGTAAAATGAGCTGATAATATTTGGGAGTGATATTTCCTTTTGTTTGTTTCACTCCATTTTGGATATAAATAATAAGGTTTCTAAAACTCATTTTTCTTCAGAAAGTATACCTACGGAATATGTGCCTATCTGGAAAAAAAAATCCTCCTCCAAAGTTTTGAGTAATTGTTGGTTTCTTAAAGTTTCATGGAAAACCTGCCCTGATATAACTCAAACCTGCAGGGGTGGCAGAGGTTGAAAGTTTACTTTCCATTTTTAATTCCCAAAGTTTATTGCAAAGGTGTTTCTAGGACAACCATGGACAAAATTGTCATCATTTCTAGTAAAAACACTTGTTTTCCTTTGGGTTGATACATTTATAAGATGCAGTATGTTCAACTATATACTTCTATTTTTAAGGAATATCTTTTTTTTTTTTTGGTCTTTTCACCGTAAAACCCATCTATTATGTTTTGATGTTTTTCATACTGGTACAACTTTAAATAAAATCTTTAATTTAGGCAAAAAATGTCACAAAGAGATTCAGCTGAAAGACATAATGTGTTCATTTCAGGATTCAAAAGATAGAGTTGGCTGAGCAATGTGTGTATACTGATGATCATTTGTTCATTCAAATATTTATTAAATACCTGTTCTATGTCAACTACTCTGCTAGTTGCTGAAAAAACAGAGACGAAAGTTAATTCCTATCTCAGAAGACTCAGTGTCAGGAAGTTGATTTCACAGGAGCCTGAGTTAGGATGGGTGGAGGACAAAAAAGATGTGGGAGCACAGAAGAGGAGCTCTTAGTCATTCCCAGCAAGGAAGGCTTCCTGGAAGGAGACCCTTGGCTATGCAGGGTATTTGACTGTTTGTGAGATGAAATGAGGATAAGACGTGAGAATATGCTAAACACTAGGGCCAGTACAGGCAAAGCCGCCCAGGAGTGAGAACCCATGGCTTATTCCAGGAGCTGAGAGTATTTTGAGATGCTATAGCTCAGGAAGTGGCAGACGGAGTGGATTGGTTTTGTCTGCCATACTAATAATTAACATTTTATACTGAAGGCAATGAGCAGACACTGAAGAATTTTAAGGGAGCGACAAGAGTTCATAGCCAGGGAAGGGAAAGGTCATTAGCACTGGAAAACAGATCTGAAAGAAAACACTCTGACTAGTCATTCATTTAACAGTTGGTTTAAGAAAGAACTTTAAAGTCAGCTAACAGTATATAAGCTAGATAAGAAAAGTTTGTTTAAGTTTGCCAGCTTTAATGTATATTTAACTTGGATGGTTTAACTGAGTGTCTTTGAAGATATTACTTGGGTGACAAGCAAAGCAATTCATTAGTGAAGTTATTTGTTAGGGTTTCCAATAAAGCAGTAGGCACATTTTGCTATAGAGAACAATCGTCAAGTTAACAATAGTCAAGTTAAAGAATAACTAGGTTAGGAGAAAGCCAAGTGACAAAGTAAAAACTGAAATGTATTAAAAGAAATAATCTTAATATAAATCACAAGGGTAAGGCTAGGCACAATTTTATTCATGAATTCACTTTTGTGAAATTTATTGGGCAAACACCCCAAATAAAAAAAGTAATAGATTTTAAAAATATAACAGAAATGAGAATTTGGCATTTCATCAATGATAACAACATCCTATTATAGAGGCCAGTAATGTGGAATGAATCCATCAGAATCTCAAGAATAAGGGCAATTTAGATAACTTAGCCAAATAACATCATTAATTTAGTATACTAGTTGAATTAGTCTAGCTGTATAGCATAACATTAAATATGATACATTTATACTGTAAGTTTATTGAAAGCAAAGTTTAATTATTTGAGTAAAATGGATCATTGAAATTGAGACCTAATATAAACTTGTTTCTTCTTACTGGATTGTAAGGCTAAATATCAAAAGACACTTTAAGGTAAATATGAAAGGTTCTTTTTGTTTTAATACTGTTCTACCACCCAAGACGGAGAAGCTCTAATAAATCTTTCAAAGAAAAAAATGGAGATAGAGAGGGTGTGGAAGAGGAGAGAAATCACTCCAAAACATAAACAAAGTCCTTAAAACTGCACACAGTCAAGTTAACACCATTCCAAGTATAAGCAGATACTGATCCCCCTGACCAAGACTTTACTGTTAGGGATATTTTCAAAAGCAAAAACCTTGGAGTAAACAGCGAAACAAAGCAGAAGGATTTTATTCAAAGGCCTGCACACATATGGAACCCGTTAAGGGGATGGTGACTGTAGAAAAAACTACAAACGAGTTTAAGGGACACCTAGGCTGTTTCAGAGAGGAAAAGGATAGAGGAAAGGGTGGTTACAAAAGCAAGAAAGTGGGCAGGAGATCAGTTGAATGCGAGGGAGACCGGCTCTAAGACAGATGGTCTGTTCTGTTCCAGTATTTTCAAAGTTAAGGGACATTCCTTAGCACACTTTTATTTTACACAGAGAGTGAATTAAGAAGAAACCGAGGGTCTGTCAGAGTTTTTTCTGGATTTACTTGTGTCATTTCTTTGATAAACTTTGCTTGTTAATACATTTCATCATGTGTCTTCTTCAAACTGAGGCCCTCAGTGCATTCTCCATAATCCTTACGTTTCAAGTGAAAGTGCCAACTAATTAAGAGTAGGGTTCTTGTTTATGTTGTACAGTTATCTATGTTAGCTTATGTTATCTTCCTCTGGAAGTTTCAGAGCAAAATTTCAGAGGGAAATCAATATTTCTTTTTTGACAAGGTGCGATGCTCACTAATTTACCACGTTTAGGACCTTTCTAGACTATGGAAATAGTCACTGTTATGTTTTTCAGAGTATTTGTGTACCTACATTAAAAATTAATGGACACAGACAAAAACTAGTTGAGTTGCCTTGCTTTGGCATAGGGGAATAATGACATATGATGAATCAAGCTCACCTGTATGGCACTTGGCAGGGAAGATAATTTTCCTAAGATACTCTACAGAATCCACATAGCTGCCAGATATAGGCCAATATGAAGTCTCTTTAACCAAGCACACAGGAATAAAGGATAACACTTTATTTCAGACACCACGAGAAATAAAAAGCAGGGGAAAGAATTACTTCTTTGAAGAGGTGAACTGCTAAGGGAGAGACCAGAATAAACATCTAGTAACACACATACATGCTAAGAATAAAAACACACACATCAAATCTATGTAACCAATGACAGATTAGAAATAGATGGGACTTGGTTCAGTCAGGTAAGTGTGTAGGAAAAAAAGATTTTTCGTACACTCCACCTGGCCAAATGCAGCTATTCTAGGCTCAGGGCTGGAATCTACAGGAACCCAGACAACAGGTACACTTTGGGATAAGTCATGGGCTGCATCTGCCAGGCACAAATAAGCAGTAACTAGATAGAAATGGCCAGCTGAGTCCTGGGCATGCCAGCTTCTGTATACATGATGGGGGCTCACAAAACCCTGCACTTTTCACTGGGCTATAAATAAGGGAAATTCGTGGGAGGTAGACTTAATAGTGGGCACCCTAAAACCCAATGTATTCCATGAGAATGAAGTACACATTTAACAAGGAAAACTCATTAAATGCATTCACTGTATGATATACATTAATAAAATTATAAAAACAGCTTATAATATATAGAAACAATCTCTGAATCATATGTTCACTTAGAAATTAAATTAATAGGATCAAAATTATCTTCAATTAAAATTAATGTAATATAAAGATTCATGCTATACCAATCGCTATTAATCTAATAGGCCAGTATTATCCCCCTAAGTACAGCAAAATGAAAACATAAAGAGGCAACAATTGCAGATACAGATCCAATACATCCAGCCAGGACAATTATTAATAGAAGAAGATGAGCCTATTGATTCTAAGGTTGTGTTTCCTATTGCTTACTGGGAACATATTTTAAGAACAACCTATTTTTCCCTATTTTTCTCACATCTTGCCAAATAACCTACTTAAGAACTTGAATGACAAACAGTGAAACAGTGCTGATTAAACATAAACAGTGGTGACAGAGAGAGAAACTCAGGTCTTATTTTGGGTTGCTCAAAGCGAAAATGTAACAAGGGATACACTCTTTTTAAAGCCGAGGAGGTACCGGTCAGAAGAAACTGTGGCTTTGGAGACAAGCCTAAGTTCAAATTCTGGCTTCATCAGTTAACAGCTTTGTGATTCCAGGCAAATAGCTCAACCTAACTGACCTTCCCTTTCTTTACCTGTAAAACAGGTGAAGGAAAACCCATTGCCTCTCTTAAAAGTTATTGTGGGGAATAAACATAAGCAAGTGCTTAATACAGTGGCTGGCACATAGATAAAGTGAGTAGTGTGTCCATGATGGAGCAGCTTCTCTTAAGACAGAGCAGAACTTCCAAAAGCAGAGATTACTTTGACATCTGTTTTTGAATGAATTTTATATTTTGCCAAACTCATTGAATCCAAACAAGTGGCAGATAATGAATGAAACTGAATACCTAAGTAATAAAAACACAAAAAGGCCTTTAAAATTATCTTCAATATTTTACACTTTGTTTCTAATTTAGAATTTAATTTACACTTACTATCTAGCCCAGTGGATCCCAACTTTGCGTTTAAGAATTACCTGTGGAACACTGAGAAAATACAGCGGCTAGAGGTTTTGCTGTAATGGACCTGGGATAAGGCCTAAGCACCAGTTTTTAATTACATATTCCAGGTGATTCTAATGAACAGCCAGCACTGAGTACCACTAGTATAGACAATCATATTTGAACTCTTTATAAAAATTAGATTTATTTGAGTTTAGTAAGAGTGACTCAAAACAGCTTCACCTGTTCTAAGAACCTATTACAGTCTACTCAAAGTTGTGGCCAGCATTTCCAAGTCACTTCTTTCTTCAAAAAATAGAAAACAAGTTGAAATATGTAATTAGTTGGCAGAAATTCACAAGATCATATCAACAGTCTTCTTTAAGATAAAAATAAATGGATATTTTTGCTTGGAAATGAGTCATGCCTTATAGCGGATTTCCAGTGAATTATTTAAGACGGAAAGGTATTTTTTTAAAATGACTTTTTCTGCTACATTTTATTCTTCTCTTTTTGCTCTGAAGCTAGAAAAAGCAAAGATAACCATCTGAAAGACAGACCCAAGGCAATTCTACTAATTGTCTGGTTTTCTGGTTTGATAGAAATCTGGTACACTCCTCTTTTGAAGAGAACCACAACTATTGAAGAGAGGACTGGATGTTGGATCAGGTAGCTTGGAACTCTTCTAACCCTTCTCTGTTTCACTGAGTGACCTTGAGCAAGTCATTTAACTTGCCTCCAGTCTAATGCACCCTCTGTAATGCACAATCAGTGCACAGTACCAAATTTCCAGAAGGTAGAACTTGACATCATTTTCAAGGGCATCTTACCAGTGTGCTGCCATCAGTCCAACGGAAGTCATGCTCAAACATCTTGTCATTGAGGCCTATCCACTGATAATCATGGCCCACACCTAAGGGATAGGAAACCACACAGATATTTGTACTACTTTTCCATATATGGATGAAAATATATCAAAGAAAATTATTTTCAGCATGAATCATGCATCCTCTTTACTGGCTGGATTTTTATTTAGTTGCTCATAAAAATCTCTCCTAGTCTACCTTTTGTTCTTCTGCCCAATGTGCTTTAAATGAAAAGGTTAATGTGCAAACCCTGTGAAGCATTAAAATATCAAGACATAGACAATAATTCCCCTAGCAATTTACTATAATTAAATTTTTTCCCACCCTCACTCATGATAGAAATTTTCTTTTTTTTATGATAGAAATTTTCTATTTTTTTGTTGTTGTTGTTTTTAAGCGATGCCATTGGCAAAAATTCAGTGACCCAATAAAATGTGCCAGATCTTATCCACGCTACCCTCATTTTGGAAGCCACTTGTTCCTTTTTTTCAAAACATTTTAATTAGTGAACACCTAGATTAGACAGTTCTACAGATTTATCCTCAAAAATATTTACTTTTACCATGAGGTGAGTCACTGGCAAGGATATCACGCAGTAAAGTTAAATGAACCTCTATCCAGATTACAAATTAACAAACTTCTAAACGATAGTAGGCATCACGAGAAAATATTTAATAGAACATCAAACAACGCTTCATGAGGCTGGGAATGGTGGCTCACGCCTATGATCCCAGCACTTTGGGAAGCAGAGGTGGGAGGATTACTTGAGGCCAGTAGTTCAAGTCAAGCCTGGACAGCATGGCAAGACACTACCTCTTAAGAAAATGCTTTATGAGCAACAAATTTCTACATATTGCTACATGAAAACTAGTTGCCCTCCTTTTTGCTGCAGTTGAAGGAGTTATTAAACAGCTCTGATATTAAGTTTCATTAGCTTTCAATCTCCACCTATTCAAGTTCTTAGGATGTAGCTCACTTTCCACAATTTAAAATATTTAGAAACTTGAATGAGAATCAATATGCCCAAAAGGTAAGATTAGGGTGCTATTATTAACAATTCAATTTTAATTAGCAGGACAAAAATAACTGAAAACAACTGTAATTTTAGACAGGCATATAAATATTCAAAATAGAGACTATGAAAGTATAACCATAGTAAGAATTCTATTGAGCCATAAGAAATAGCTGTTTTTGTATATTTAAAAATGATCAAATAGCAACTGCTTATGATTCAACCTACAGCAAGTGTTTCAACTATTACTGCTGGCAGACAAACCAATGCCTACCTATATTATAGTTGAATGTTTCCCCAAATGGGGGACTTAACATAGGTGAGATGATTTTAAGTAATTCACAGATGAGGGATTTGATAAGTTGTATTATGATTGAAAAAGCTACTTCTTTTCACTTGCACACAGACAAAACTAAGAGAGTGATGAGAAGTGAAGTTCCTGGAAACTCGTATCTATTTGGTACATACGATTAACAAACATTTGTTCTTCGTGAGACAGGATGCTTGTGAGATGGGCACCCTGCAGACGGCATTCCCGTTCAGCTGCATCCCATGTGCGTCGATGGGCAAAGTATTTGTAGCACTGCCCTTGGAATTTGTGCCAGCCATAGTCACATGTCTCGGTATCTGAGAAGAAACAGGCAGGAGCTTATTAAACGCACATACGTCATTCAAACTTGGCACCCCCAACCAAGTGTTAGTAGGATACCCAAGCCAGTATCTGTGCAATGTCCCTGAAGTAACTGATTCATAAAATTTGGTCACGATGACAAAGAAATTATTATGAAGTGAGCCCAACTGATTCGTGCCAAGTGGATGGCTATATATCTTTGGATTGCAAAGGCAGCATCTAACAGCAACTTCCTTGATTAAAGCCAGAGAAAACTGGAAGAGGGGCCAGCCAAAATCTCTTGGGCTGCTATAGCACTGGCTGACTTACTTGTGAAGCAACTGGGGCTAATTCCTTACCAACACAACTTTTCTAAGAGACTCATTCAAGTGATAGATAAGAGTTCCGGCTAATAGAATTATGAATGCCCTATTTGCATAACAACTTCAAAGGTTCTGGAAGTAGTCCTCTCCCATTTCCCAAAGAGATATCTGAGAAGTCACAGGCTCTTGTCATGTAAAACTGACAAAGAGAAAAAAATCCTTTATGAATAGGTACGTTTTGGGATACAGCTAGAACTGTATGCCTTCTTCCTAAAAAGAAGGGTAAGATAGGTAATGCCCAATGAAAATGCATCAAGATTTTAAGTTTATTAAAAATGAAATAAATTAAATTATTTAACTCACCCCCCCATTCCACCAGGTCATATACATATGTGTGTGTGTGTGTCTGTGTGTGTGTTTCACAATAAGCACACTATAACTGATATTCCAGTGGGACAATAATATTTTTCAAATATATCTAAATTTTACACTGGCAGTATCAGCTACACTTTCTAGGTTGCCAATTTTTACATAATTCCACAAGAAAGTGGCATTGTTCATAGCACTGTATTCTTCATTGGCAATCTTCCCACAGAATTGCTCATCCACAGGTGGGGTTGACTTTCACAAAATACACCCCACAATTATATTGAAGTAGTTACATGTAAAAACTAACAAAACTGCAGTTTATAGAATTTCAGGCACCAACAAAACCTTCCAGATGACCTAGTAAGTATCTCCCCCCACCCAAATTTGCTGATTAATAGAAGAAAACACAACCCTACTAAATTAAATAAATGTTTGCTTTATACGTTAGTTTTGGTGGCCAAATTGAAACTCAGATTGTCTCTTGACTCTTATTCCTGTTACTCCTCTTTCTATAACTGTGGGAAAGTATGAATTCTGAAAGATTTCATTTCTTTCCTGGCTTCAGTGATTAAAACCATACTCACACAACAGATGCAGCTTATCTGAGAGCAGTATTTATTTCAGTTTAGTCTATCAGGCCTGTTGTTTAGTTGCAGCCAGCTGACTAATTCTTTTGAGTAATGTGCACTGGAAGCTTTGCGTTTATTAAAGTGTTGTTTGGAGATCACCAAGTCTCATAGGAAAGGACTCAAGACACAGCTAGATGGTTTGGTATAAAAGTAGCACTCAGTGCCTCAAAATGAAGCAAATTTTGGCTACTTGGATGTAGTATTTCTGCTTTGGGGAAGTTCATTTGTAAGAATTTAGAGGTAAGGTGAGAGGGCTAGGAAGAACACAGCTCTTCCTATATGAGGGGGTTAGTTTACAGAGGAGGAGAATCAAAAAAACTTTTAGAACATTCTTACTGCCAAAGTAAATAATGTGATTTATAATGGCATAACTTTCCTTAACCATGGACATTAATTTAAGATACATGATGTAAAATTATGGAGGATCTTAACCCCTTGAATAATACATCAGAAAAAACTTTTCTACATACCCTTTTTTATCTGCTATTAACCCAATTGGTTTTAGTTTGGTTTCCCCTTTTTTGTCTTTTTTATTTTTTATTTTTTTTGTGGTGGAGTCTCGCTTTGTCACCCAGGCTGGAGTGCAGTGGCATGATCTTGGCTCACTGCAACCTCTGCTTCTCGGGTTCAAGTGAGTCTCCTGCCTCAGCCTCCCTAGTAGCTGGGACTACAGGCGTGCACCACCATGCCTGGCTAATTTTTGTATTTTTTGGTGGAGACAGGCTTTCACCATGTTGCCCAGGCTGGTCTTGAACACCTGACCTCAGGTGATCCACCTGCCTTGGCCTCCCAGAGTGCTGGGATTATAGGCGTGAGCTATCGCACCCAGCCCCTTTTTGTCTTCTAAATAGTTTATCATTAAGTATTTTTCCTCCTAAACAAGAAAACCCAGATGATCACAAAATTTAGATATGTGACCACTTCACTACTAACAGTGCCTGTCTCAGTTAGCAGATGCATACATTCCAATCAGAACACAGGTCCAAAAAATAGAGGCGGGGTTTCTGTTAAAACCAAACTGGGAAAATGCATTTATTTGTACTATCTAAATCATAGCTTCCCAATGACT
Organism: Homo sapiens; assembly: GCF_000001405.40. NCBI lineage: Eukaryota > Metazoa > Chordata > Mammalia > Primates > Hominidae > Homo > Homo sapiens. The sequence continues at coordinate 83,550,990 of NC_000005.10, read as the reverse complement.
ATAAATATATCTGCAAAAACCACTTAGAGTGGTTTTTGTGTAAAAAAAAAAAAAACAAAGCCAACTATCCACATTGATTCACTTTTTTTTTTTTTTTTTTTTTGAGATGGAGTCTCACTCTTGTCACCCAGGCTGGAGTGCGGTGGCATGATCTCTGCTCACTGCAACCTCTGCCTCCCAGGTTCAAGCTATTCTCCTGCCTCTGCCTCCTGATTAGCTGAGATTACAGGCACCCGCCACCACACCCGGCTAATTTTTGTACTTTTAGTAGAGATGGGGTTTCGCCATGTTGGCCAGGCTGGTCTCGAACTTCTGACCTCAGGTGATCCGCCCGCCTTGACCTCCCAAAGTGCTGGGATTACAGGCGTAAGCCACCATGCCTGGCCACTTAAATTTTATTATTCATGAATTCAACAAATATGTAATGAAGGATCATTTGTCAAGCTGCATCTCCCAGGATGCTATTCTGATAGGAGATACTATTCATAGAAATAGTCTATTTGTTTTTTCAACCTTACCTAAAAATTATGTGAAACTCTTTTTATTTATTAAAAGGCAACCTTTGTGGATGACATTTTCTTAAAAATCATTCAATGCATGGAAAGACATCTTATGCTTTAAAACTCCTATAGGTTTTAAAGAGGTTACAAAAAAATAGGTTGTTTCAATGGGTTACAATACAAACCCAGATTTGTAGTGTGCACAGCTCCTGTTCATGAACATAGAAGGTGAAACTATCACAAACAAATTCACCAAAAATTTATTCTTTTGATGCTGTACAGGTAATGTTTTCAACCTCTCTGACATATAGCTGTCAAGTCCTAAGAAAGTGCCCATCCTCCACACTTCTCACTAGGCAAGCTGTATCACTGACTTTGGCAAGGGCAGTTTGTGCAGCCAGAACTGCCTCTCTACTGTTCCAATAGCCCTTTCTAGATTTTGTATCTGTAATTATTGCACCAAAATGTGTCCCCTATTTCGGAGTAACTGTGACTTGGGAAGTTACTAGTCAGAGAACAGAAAACGTCAGCTGAAGGAACACTGACACGGTCATCACCAAACTTTGGATAGAAAATTGTTTAGACAACAAAGCTGCTGTTAATGAAGAAAACATTTGTTCTTAGGCAACCTGAAAAGAGGAAAAAAATCTTTCAGTATCCTGGCAATAAATCACAGGAGCACAGCTGCACTGCGTAAACAGACTGAGATCGATGTTTCTCAGCAAAAAAATGTGCATGAAAATCAAACTTGCTTGAAAATACAATAAAAAGTACCTGAAAGTCAGGTGGCACCAGAAATAAAATTAATTAACACTTTTTACTTTCAATATTCTTTTGAAAAGAAAGAGAAAAGGTCAATGGCACCAAAGTCCCTTCCAAAAATCTGTTGCCACTCAATGCATCAGATAAACATATAAATAAAGTGTTTATCTTTGAGAGTTACTTTAGAAGTGTGAAGATATTCAGAGAAACTTGGGCTGTAGAGTTAAGCCATTTAGGTTCACTTTTCCCATTGTACGATTTACTAGCTGTGTGACATTAAACACATCACTTTTTTTCTCTGAGCCTTAATTTCTAGCCCACTGAATGCATAGAAATGCTATGCCAACCAAATGAAACAATGTGCCAGGATGCATTTGATAGTCTGTAAAGAACTAAATTTTATTCTCTGCCAAGAGTTATGCTAAGTCACCAGGATCAGAGACTTTGTTTTGTTCATATTTCTATCTCCAATGCCCAGAACAGTGCCTGGAAGACAGTAAATGCACATTGAAAAAACGATTTTTTGAATTGCTTCTTGTACTTGGAACTAACAGAAGCCAGAATCATGTTTAACATATTGGAATGTCTCAACTGTCTCAGGCTTTTGTTTTCTTCAACAAATGCCATCTTTCTAATGTTTTTACTTTAAGAAGAGGATCTTGCTTGGTCTATCTTTATATTCAAAATCTAAAACAAACAGATTTACCCTATGCAATAAAAAAAGAAAAAAACCAACACCTAAAAATGTAGCCATCATCCATCCACTTGGAACAGCAATTCAATACATGCTCCTTTTGGATTTGCATTCATCGCAGTGACATCCAGATTAACACCATGAAGCAGAATGTGGGACCAGACCAATGTGCCTGAGTGTCTAATGCATTTTCAGTTTGTCTGGTGGAATGGAAGTTTGGCACTGAACACTTTTATCAAAGCCAAACCACTGTACGAGTTTAAGTAGAGGAAATCGACATTCCAAAGCTGAGTGTGCTTAGCATGCAATCTGTTTCTTATTGATGGACCAAGAAATGCTCCCATTAACCACCTAAAATACACCCTCAGGTTGGCCGTAAAATGCAAATTACAGGGATCATGAGATTCAAGCCATCATGAACATAGGGCTTTCTTTCATTCAGAAAAAGTCAATCCTTCTTTAGTAGGAAAATTTCCTGGTGAGCAGATTCACAATATCTTCTACTTAGCATGTGCCAAAGCAAATGTATTCTAACAACTATATCAACTCATTCTCCAGATATGATTGACTATGAAAAATAAGTCCATTGAGTCTCAAGTGCTTAGGAGGAGAAAATAAAAACAGCTAATATTGAATTCAGTACTCCTTCGTACATGAGCCACAGTAAGGTCAGTGCTTAGTTTGTCCCCAAGAAAAATACATACGATAATATTCCTTTTATTGGCTGGATGTCTTTAAATTCAGCTCAGTTTGCCTGCCTGCAATTCCAATCTATCAGCTAAACAACCATAATCAAGTCAACACTATGATTCAGATGTTTTGAGCTATCCCTGAATAAGGAAACCTAAGGAAATGTGAATTTCCACTGCAGGAAAGATTATGCATTGAGGCCAAAATTGCTAAAAAAAAATCAATAATGTTCATCATACAAATGTTGCAATAGCTCTTACCTTGCTCACAAAGTGCACCAACATAACTTGGAAGGCAGAGGCACCTGAATGTGTTAAAACCATCAACACAAGTGGCTCCATTACGACAGGGATTAGAGTGACATTCATCAAAATCTGAAACAAAATAGTAAAAGCTCACAAAATACTTTCAAAAAGTATCAAAGAATTCCATTTAGTGTGAGGTTGCAAGATAACATACAAGACAGCCAGTTAAATTTGAATTTCAGATTTTAAAAAAAGTATAATTTGTTAGCATAAGTATGTCCGTGCCATATTTAGGGCAAACCTATACTACAAAGTTATTTCGTTTTTACTTGAAACTCAAATATAAGTGGCCATCCTGAATTGTTATTTCCTAAATTTGGCAACCCTAAGAAAATGTCAAAGGTATTCAGAGTAGGGCCATTGTCTCCATTGCTGATAAATGAATCAGATAAGCCCTAAAACGAATGAAGAATCAACAGCCCCAGCCTTCCCACCTCCAATCATGGCTCATTCTCTGATTACCTCACACATGGACTACTCAAAGTATCTAACTGGCCTCACCATCCCTAGGCCCTTTCCTCTCCAATATATCCATCACTCTGCTAAATGTCATCTTTTTTAGACACAGTCATGATAATTTTATTCTTTTACTTCCAAACATTCCATGGATCCCAATTGCCCAGGGCAGCAGTCTTCAACGTGAGCTCCCTGGACCACAAACAACATCAGCATCACCTAAGAATGTTAAAAATCCACAATTCCAATTCCACCCCAAATCTACTGAATCACATACTTTGAGGTGGAGACAACAATCTGTTTTACCAGCCCTCTGATGCATGCTAAGGTCTCAGAATCACTTGACTAGAGTGTGAAGTAACACTATTCAGTATCCTGAACTCAGGACCTTCTTAGACTGTCAGGGCTTTCTAGACCCAACCTGCCTTCTGGTACTGTCTCCCAATACGTCTCCCTCTCCCAAACCCCTAAGTAGGCATACCTGGATCGAGGCTGTCATTCAAATGCCTTCTGTAGTTTTTGGCCTCTGTGCTTTTGTTTGTTGTGTCCATATCTCCCTCCACCACCTGTCAAATCTTCCCAACTTTAAAATCTATGTCAAATAAAATCTTTCTACACAGATTCTAATCTTTCTACATATGATCTCCCCTGATGAAATTAGTGACTTTATTTCCATAGCATTTTGCAATTACACTAAAAATTTAATGTTTAAGAATATTTTTAAATGAATATACAAAGCAAGTTAAATTTCTTAGTCATATAATGTATTCTTACCTAAAGAAATGGTCTTAGTAAACATGATATTATATAGTAATAATACCAAACATGTTTATGGTGCTTGCTGAGTGCCAGACACTTTGTCACCCAGCCTGGAGTGCAGTAGCGTGAACACAGCTCACTGCAGCCTCGACCTTCTGGGCTTAAGCAATCTTTCCACCTCAGCCTCCCAAGTAGCTGGGACTACAGGCACGGTTAATTTTTTTTTTTTTTTGCAGAGGTGAGGTTCTGCCATGTTGCCCAGGCTGGTCTCGAACTTCTGGGATCAAGCGATTCGCCCACCTCGCCCTCCCAAAGTGCTGGGGTTATAGGCTTGAACCACCGCGCTGGCCTCGTTGACTTTTTTTAAGTACTCTTTTAATATGAATGTTGGGATTGTATCGCAATATTGATGTATAATTTAAAGTGCTATTGGTGAGCTTTCTTTACTCAATCATTGTAAGCAAATTAAGCAAACCTTCATGATATCTCTAAAAGGGACATCTGGACAACATATTTCATCATTCTTTTCTCAGAAGTGAGGTCTATATGTAGCCAAATCAACACTGGTGCCTTTTTTTTTTTCTTTAAAGAGAAGGATGCCTAAATAAGAATATGGGAGTGTGAGGGTCAATTATATTCCTTGGAACCAAAAGAGAGGCAGGGAACAGCAATTGCACAGCTCCCTGAGGCCGAGGCACGTTGGGCTGGTTGCTGGGAGTCAGGGAAGGGTCTTTCCCATTCCAAATGAGAAGAAAAATTATCCCAAAACTAAGGACAAAGCTCTCTAACTTTTATTATTTTCCTAATTTTTAAGTCTAGCTTTCTAAAAAGATTTTTATACTGAAATTGATTTTTATTTATATGCAGATTTGGGGGATAAATGTACATTTTTGTTAATATTTATGCATTTTTACATTTGTAAATTCTACCTGTAAAAAACACAAGAAGACTCAGCAGGCCTCACTGAGTCTTGGTTACGTTAACAGAATTCACTGAATATCTGTACCCATTTTCCAGCCCCTAGTTAATTACCCTCAGATTTTAACTTCATTTAACATATAATTAATCTTCATATGGGTTTCTTTGAAATCTCTGATTGATTCGACAACATAAATTCTCCCCCAATATATCTTCTGTGAAAGAACTGCACCTTTTCAGCCAAGTACCATCTTACCAAGTTCACACTGGTCTCCGCTGTATCCTGGCACACAGGTGCATACGTAGGAAGTTTCAGTAGGATAACAGGTGCCTCCGTTAAGGCACGGGTTCATTTTGCAGCGATCAGGTCCTACCATATTCAGGAAAGTAAGAAAAGCAGTTAGGCTCGTCTCTAATGTTTGCGTGTATTTTAGCATAAAACGCCCCATATTGCTACCATATTATAGGCTTTACCATAGCAATTTAGAGTTACTACATATAAAAATTAACATTAACTTTACTCTCTGGAGTGTTTCTTGGCATTATAACTAATTGTTACAAATTGCATCTATTCATTTCTGGGATTCAATCACGATTACTCTTAAATGATATTTTTTGTACTGTATCTGGCAACTAATATATTCTACTGCAGATTTAGTTGGCATGATAATGGCAATTGATTTTAGTCAAAAATGATTACACATATGTGCACAGTGAATGGAAAATGTATTCTTTTAAATGGGGTTAGTTCATGTGAAATGGCTGGATACACAGAACATGCATTCTTTTTAGCAGGTTGGCTTGTTATCATCATTTGAATTATTATTGCCTTTTACCACTTAATGCTCAGAAACTGTTTTTCTTCGAAAGTGTGCACTGAAGTCTCTTCTGCTACATTAACATGCTTTTTCCAAAAACACGTTCCAAATGTACTCCTTTAAACTATACTTGAAGAAAAGCAACACATGGATTAAACTCTACTGTAGAAAAACAAACCCAAATACAAAAACCTCACCTAAAATGAAACCCCAAGTTTTTATTATAATTTTCTTATTAAAATACAAATAAAACCGACACTCCTGGGAGATAAATATGAAGGCCGAAGACATAAATTTATGAGGACAAACAGTTTAAATATATTTTCTAAGTGCAAACACTTTTACACCACTTGAAGCATATATTTTATATTGCAATATTGCTTGGATAAGTGTATTTTCATTGAGTTTATACTTATTCTTTGTATATTGTTTCAGACTTGCTTACATTTCTAAATCTTCAAAGATCCAAATGAGAGTTGAAAGTTTTACAAAATAATTGAAATAAAATAGATTATCTATGGAATACACCCATACTTTCAAGAATCTTAAGTCCTGAAACCCTGAAATAATTACACATGAAAGAAGAAAGATGTCTAACTTCTTATGAAACATTAGCTTAAAGAATATCAGGATAAACAAGGTACTGCTATAAAAGATAACTGAGACTTCCCCACACCAGAAAGTCAAACTCAAACTTTCTGAGTGTTAAGTAAATTCTGAATGACTATAAACCTGGATAGGTACACATTCCCATGTTTGGGATTCACGTTAAAATTAGGTTAATTCAGATGAGTACATCAACTTCTCCAAAAACTCCCCCGAGTTTTCTAAGACACTTTTTCCTATAGTTCCAAAACTATTTGAAATCTCCCTAACAATTTTAGCTTTCTGAATTTTAAAGTACAAGTACGCTCGCTGCCAGGATGACAAGGCTGCAGTTAACACACGCCATAGCCACATGCTGCCCTCTGTGCTGAATCCAAATGACACTAGGTGAAAGTGCTTTATCAGACTGTGATGTGCCACACAAATGTGAAGAAGTACTATTACTATTCCTACCACTGACACTAGACACCATGCTGAGACCATGAAACAAGGACTGAGTGAGTGAGTCTTCCTGTGAACTGGAAGTCGTTCCAATTAACAGGAAACTTCAGTTTTTATGAATGTTATTCTCCCCTAAACAGTTCGTATTAACCTCTGAAAGTTGAATCTGCAACAGATAGACCAGGTAATCCCATATGAGCTGCTGTTTACTGAATTAAGCTAAAGTGACCATTTGTTTTGCAATGAAGACGCAAACTATAAATCTTGGTAAATATTGTAAACTGGAAAATTGGTACATATTTCTCATTCATCAAACTTAACTCTATATGTACCTAGTTATTACCAGTTATTTTTACATCATATTTTTAACAAACTGAAGTATATTAAACTAAATTAAAAAACAATAAATATTAGCCAAATTACTAGATTATCATTTACAGATTTAACACACAGTGATAACAAAAAACCCAATGTCAACTACCTTTGATCAATTTTCCTCAAAATATTTCAAGCCATTTATTAAAAATTGTACTTTCTATTTTACTCTTTCTGAAGCACATCAAAATAAAGCATTGGTGGCACAAAAGGTAATATTGATATGATCAGAAGAATAATTTTAACGATAGTCATGGCATAAAACATATTAAAATAAAACATATATTCTCAACCAAGACAGACATTAAAGTACTGATTTTTCTTCCTCTTTTTGCAGGTAGCAGCTAGGTGGTGATGTCTATTTGTGGATTCCACTGACATTGTTAATTTAAATAATAACATTATGGGAAAACACCATTAGAGCTGATTTCTTAACATTCTCAGGCTAGATTAAGAGGAAAATAAATTCTACAAAGTAAATATTCCAAGATTCCTGGTTCATATATTATTCAATATCAATTGTTTATTTTTATACTATACTGAAACCAGCAAAGAGCAGTGAAAAGACTATGGACTTTAGAGTGGAGCTAAGCTGGGTTCAAATCCTACTTTTACCACAATGTGGCTGTGCCACCTTGGGCAAGTTGCTGAACCTCTCTGAACCTTCACCTCTTACCCTTTCACACAGGGCTTTTATAGCCTTTTCGTGGCAATCAGAAGAGATGGCTTATATGAATCAGTATCAAATTCATGCTTTCCATACATTCAGTAAATACACAGAAAACTTCTCTCAACAGGCAGTATGTTTATATAATAAATGACTACTCACTACTGGTAGGCACTGTGTTTGATGCATTATGTAGACTGTCTTAAACAAGGACATTGCATATAAGTATGAGCTGATATTGATACTGCACAAACTCTGAAATAATTATTAGAGCTACGTACTACTCCCAAATGTTAAAGGCCTGACAGATTTTGATACTACAGCAATAGCATCCATCAATGGGAGGGTTTTTAAAAATAGGACTTTTTTTCTACTTTTAAACCTAACATGTATAACTATGAGACATATGACAAAGCAATACTCTAGTTGTGAGTAAAAACAAATTGAATTTTTATAACATTAATAATTTCATCTTTTCCATGTTGTAATTGTATATTATTTCTAAAACCCAGAAAAATACAAAGTCTACTTCTAAAGTCCAAAACTAATCTATACTTACTGTCATTTCATCTCATTATGAACTCAATACTGTGGCCTGGCCTGCTGTTATGTGAATAATATGAAACTCTCCATTGATTTAACATCACAATAAAAATTACATACATATAAACGTTAGCACCAAGGGACTGTTTCCAGGTTTGGAAACAGATTTATCAATGTTGTGATCTTACCTGGTAAATAGATTGCCGTGCCTTCCACTGACTCTTCATTAATGCCAATCAGGAAATCTGTTTCATTAGAAGTCTCCAGAAGGGAAAATGGTGGTGTTGCAACCTCAGTATTAAATTCCACAGGGTTTACTGTTGCCTGATCATTGGAATCAAGAATTCTCGCTGCCACTTGCTGTTCTGATGCTGCTATCGTGGAATCCTGCCCTCTGATTAAAGCTGCTTGAGTTTCAGGGTTTATTTCTGGAGAAGAAGAAAGCGTGGGCCTCTCAGAAGTCTGTGGACTTAGCCAAGGCACCACACCTGCCTCGACCCCATAGGTGGCAGAAGCAGAAGTAGAGTGTGGCCACTGTGTAGCACCTTCTAATTCAATTTCATCGGCAGTTGTAATAACAGTTCCAGCCTCAGGTGTTTTAATGGTGGGAAACATCTTGATTGCTTCTCCAGAAACTTGACCATCGGTTTTGTTTTGGAAATCTTGGAGAATCTCAGTTCCTTCCACAGCAATAAGTTCTGTGGGAGAAGCTTCCATTTCTTCTAATAACTCAGGTTTACCATCATCTTCTGAAGGTTCTAATTTTGTGTCAGGAGATAAAGAGGGAGGCTCAGTTATGTGAAGGTATTCCTCACTTGATGGTTTGAAAGTCGCTTCAATATTTACATGAATTTCCTTAAAAGAATCCTGTGGGGACATTACAGATGAGCCGACGTCTATTCCTGGCAGAGCACTGGGCTGGGGGATCTCTGTGTGTCCAGAGGCTTCACTGCCTGAGTAGATAGTGAGGGGAGATGATGGTGTCTGAGAAGACAACTTCGCAAATGTTGAAACTGCTAATGTTGTATCAGTGTAATATGGGGGATTGGATCCTTCCATCACATCAGGCACCTCTGTTACACTCTGATCCATAAGGTGGGTAGTAGCAATACTTAGATAGGGAGTATGGTCTACTAATGCCTCCTCAGCTCCTGAAGAGAATTCTGGCTGAAAAGAAGGACCAGCATGTTTTTTGTCTTCATACTCCTCCTGAGTCCTTTCAAATTGGCCCAATGTTGGTATTATTTCACTTTGGTCTGCAATAGCTTGACCATCAGACAAAGTGCTTGATTCAAACATGTCATCCAGGGCTTTTGCTTCAGCTTTTATTCCTTCAATCTCTGGAATAACTGTGGCAGACTTACGAGGAATTGGCAGGGATGTTGCCGTGGGAAGTAAAACGTCTAATTCTGTTTCTGTGCTAGGAGCAGGGATCCCAGTTGTGAAGTGAAAGCCCATGTGATCTAGTTGGCTTCTATCTTCATAAGTCATTGATTCATCATGTGTTGCCTGAGTGTAGCTAGCCAGAACATCAGCAGAGCCCTCAAATGTTTCCTCAGTTAAAGAAAGGTTGACAGCTGCCTCATAGATCTCTTGAACTTGAGTGCTGTCATCATTACTTTCATCATTACTGTCATGTGGTTCTGATGGTACCTCTGTATCTATATCTGTTTGCATTCCAAGAATGTCTTCATACACAGGTTTAGTATGATCAATATCTATGATAGTATTTTTATCCGATGTCAGCTCAGGTAGAATTTCAAGGATGGTACTCTCTGTAATTGTCAATATTAAATCCTTGTCCTCTTTGTCCAGGTCTATGATAATATTTTCAGTGGGTTTTTTTCTGTTAGGTTTTAAGGTGGAATCCTCGAATTCCCTGAAACGGTCTTGGAAACTACCGTCTGTGGACCTCTCATATGACACTGTATTTGACAGTGTGCTAGTTGGATCAGGGGAGCTTTTGTTCTGCTCTGAATGAAGAGGCAGCATCACTGAAACTGTTGGGAATCCATCAGCAGTAACAGCTTTAGCGCTTGGCACCTCAGGATGTTTTTCCAGGGACCCATCAGAAACAAATGTGGTGCTGCTTTCTTGTCTGGTTGCCTGAGTAGTTGCAGAAGTGTGAAATGAATCAACAATATCCACTTCTCCAGATCCTTCTCCAGAAGGTTCATAATACAAGTCAGATGGTTTTGGTGCTGATGTAACAAATTCTTTGGCCATTTCAAAACCATAAGCTCTAGCCAGAAAATCAGTAGATGAGGTTGTTGTTTCGTTAATTTCTGCTGTTGAAGAATTCTTGTTAGAGTCTTGTTCAGTTATGGTTTGTGGTCTACTAGTCTGGATTTCTTCTGCCCACCTGACAGTCTGATTTTGAGGATGTCCGATGTCCGTGGAGAAAGGGAGAGGTGCCACCGTGGGTCCTTCTGCTCCAGTGTCACTTAAAATTTCTATTAATGTTGTGCTGGTTACTGACCCACTACCTTCAAAGATGTCTGTTTGAGATACGAGTGGTCCAACTTCTTTTGCCACATTTTCCATTCTGTTAAAGTCTTCAATTTTGTCACTTGAGGTACTTTCCACTTGAGAAGTGTGGGGATATAATGTGTTATTGATTTGTTCCACTTCAGTAAAATTCACTGACTCTGTTGGTAGAGTAGGTAAAACTTCTTCTCCTGATCCCAGTCCAGAGAATAAGAGCTCAGTATCTGACTCTTGAATTGTTGGTCTCATGCCTTTCGGAAAATGTTTTGTACTTTCTTCCTTTTTGATTGGTGAATCTGTGACTACATGTTCAGCTGGTATAGATTCAGTTACTAATGCAGTAGCTAAGAAAAAATGTGACTTTTCAGTAGCTTCAGGGAGAGTTGTGTAAGATTCCAAGCCATTTGCATCTGGATCTGGAGTAGACATGTTAACTAAAGAAGTGTCTTCCTCCTTCATTTCTTTATCATCACTGTAAGTTTTCTTTGTTGTTAGTACAGAATAATCTGTGGTTTTGAGTTCAGTTTCAGTAAATGTCTGTGAATCAAAGATTGTTTGTTCTGTTGCAGGAGAGTTTTGAGGGGATTCAAATGACTTTTCTTCTTGAATTTGTTCCTCTGATGTTGTTTCACTTTCAATTTCTTGTCTTACAGGGTTGACTTCTTGCCTAGACCATAATTTGGCTGGCTCTATAGTTTGGGGAAAGTTTGTTGAAACTGTGCCACTGACCTTTACTTCCTCCTTCTCTACTGGAGCTTTCGTACCTTCCACTTCTGCTGTTGGTAAAATGGTGGATCTTCTATCAATTTCATTGACAGTACCCACTTCTCCCAATCCTTCGTCGATAATGGAGGAAGCTGTACCAGAAAACTTTTGCACAGCACTGGGAAGCACTGGAACAACAGAGCTGCTGACTGTGACCAGTTGCTCACCTGAGCCCTCAGCTGAGGATGTAAACTCTTCCCAGGGGAAGGCTGAAGTGCTGACCATGGTGCTACTGGGTCCTTCTGAGTCAGATATGTGACTGATGTGAACTGAAGTAGGTACTGTAGATGGTGAAGTCTGGGTGTCCCTAAATGCTGCATCTCCAGAGCCTTCCATCATTACCGTTTCTTCTTTTGCTATGGGATGAGACACTGTTGAGTATTCTCTAAAGTCACCACTGAAATCTTCCTCCAAAGGAAAACCTGTGGAAAAGCCCCTTATTTCTGCCCCATAATTTGGTTCTCCTAATCGCTCTGAAATCACTATTTCCCTGGATGTTTGGGTTATATTTTCAGCAACTACTCTGTCCATTACTGTACTCAAAACCAGTCCTGTTGGCTCAGTGGAGAATGTAGTTTCCACATGCGGAGACAAAGTGCCAGCTACTTCCTTTTCGGCTTGAATTGCATACTCTACGTTTAATGAAAATGAAGAAACAGTGGTGGTTTCTGGGTCGGCAGCAGCTTCTCCAGAGCCCTGCTCCATAAAGACAGAGGCAGGACTACGTGGGAGAGTGGTCAGCCCTTCCTGAACCCCAGGTTGATGGATACTGCTGTGCTCAGTGGTCTGTGCCCCCAAATTTTCTAATGTATTTGTTTCTGTAAAGACAGGAGTAGAATCTGTCATTTCCCTTTCAGACTGTGTTGGTGTTGTCAAGGACATAAAACTTTTCCTGGTACCTGAATCACTAGATGTAGCTACATTTGGACTTTCTAATTCAAAGGGTAAAATTAATTGATCCGATCTCTGTGTAGATGAATATACCTCAAATGTAGAAGCCGTACCTGTAGTTCCCTCCTCCTCCTTCCTTTTCTTTTCCTCAACAGTGGTACTGGAAATCCACTCAGAAGTGTCTGTTTCACTTACAAACTTGGTAGGCACCACTTTTGCAGAAGGTTGTTCAGAAACTGGATAAATGGTGGTTGCAGGAACCTCAAAAAAGCTTTCTGTGATTATCCTGCTAGTGTCTAAAGTAATGAGTGTATCAGTAGTATTTCTCTGTGATAAATCAGTTACCATGGTGAACATTGTATCTTCATCTTCTTCTGCTTCTCCAGAGCCTTCTGTAATTGGAATCGAAGAACTCCCTGAGAGCTCTACAACTTGTCTAGGAGTTGCTTCTACCCAGCTTTCTTTGGTAGACAACAGGTCATCTGGCCAAGGATTTCCTATTAGGGTAACTGCTTCTTCCTCTGAAACATATGCTGATGCAGAACTTGGAACTATAGTGGGAGTGTATGTGACAGAAGTACTTTTTTCTACCTCTTCACCAAATGTTACTTCTGTAGCCCTTGCAAAGGCTATTTTCTGAGATTCTTGGTCAATGGCAATCTCTCCTGAAGACTCTTCAGGAAACAGAGATACAGGTTCAGTATGTTCATGTGCCTGATGACCAACTTCAGTATCTCTCTCTGTGACTGATTCTGCCCCTTTTTTGGCTGTTCCACTTTCAAATTCCTCATGGAATGGGACTGTGGGGAAAACATCAGGCTCACCACCTGAAAAATGTTCTGATGTTTCAGGGTAAGTCTCAGGCTTCCATGTAACTTCAAGAGACTCAGTTGTTTCTGTAGATTCATTAGGTTGCACAGCAGTAGACAATTCCGTTTTGGCTATTACAAATGGATGAGTATCACTTTCAGAGCTGTCCGAGAAATTCTGAGAAGGTGCAACACTTTCAAACTGGCCACGCCTAGCTTCTGCAGCTTCTGGGTCCTTGGGCACAGTGGTAACGAGATGCTTCCCATTTATGTACTGCACAGATGGGGTGGTTGTCACATCAGTAGCATTTGCACACTCTTCTTCTTCTTCTTCATTTTCTTCACTGTGGTATAGGTCTATTTCAATTATGTCAGGGAATTCAGGTAAAATTTCAGCCATTAGATCATGCACTGGATCTGTTTCTTCACTACAAGGTTCATCTTCTTTAGATTCTGAATCTATTGGATGACCAATTACACTCAAATCACTCATTCGACCTGAAAAAAACAGAGTTTTCACAATACTTAAATAGAAAATTTGGCAGTGTATGACAGAAGAAATTGATAGCAAGGCTGGTCACACCCACACACACAAAGAAGGATTCAAATCTTTTCATAATAAGTGCAATCACCCTCTTATATGGTTCTCAGTCTTCAAATTTACTGTTTTTGTATTAACAATAAGAAAAATGAATTCAATTTAACATTATTAAAACAGGTTATAAAGACTCATCAACACATTTAAGAAAACAACATAGTCCTTAAAATGAAGCAAGGAATCACATATACAATGTAATCTTGAAGTGCAGGAATTCATCTTTGTGTGAACTGCAAAAAGAGTAAAATTAAGACTATTTCATATAAAAACAATTTAAAAATTAAAAATTGAGGCCATATCATATAGAATTAATTACTTTTTCTATAGCTCTATTTCTATATATGATCTATATAGAAAAAGTAATTGTCCTTTATGTAAGGGAATAATTTATACACTCTCTATTCAATAAGAAAATGAGAAGAGATTCCTTCTGGCCCCTTTATAATCTGTTCTAGAGCAGACTGTTTTATGGAAAAACAAGAGAGCTTTATTTATAGCCCTTTTACATTGCAATGGCATCCTCTACCTACTGTGGCACTGAGACATGAGCTTAACCACATCCTATGCACAAGAGTGGGAAGCTCTGGATAGGCGGGCTCTATTGGAAATAGCTCACTGAAAGGACCAGAAAGAGCCTTCCACACCTATAGACCTTTATCCTTCCTGGGATGTGACCCAGATTAGGCTGATTTTAGTTCTTGTCATCAACATCTTCTCAAAGAAAGTTCAGGAGTCCTATCTAAATATTCTAACTAGCATTCCTCGAAAAGTATGTATCATCAGAATATTTCCCAGATTGTAAATTGCCATATGGTACCAACCACTAAGCTCAATGGCCTTTTCTGCTATCAGAAATACATCAGCAAAGCTCCTTGTCTTGGGCACTAGGAAAGAGGAAATTCTGAGGTCTCATCATAGAGGCATTCAACTGTCCTAGAACAGGGTCCTGCCACTGCAGCTGCCTTACTTTCAGTGACAAAGCAGTATGAAAATGTGCCTGTGGATATACTGACCCATAAAGAAGACAAAGAATTTACACACTACTCACCACCCTGCCCATAGGAATAATACTACAGAATGAGTTTTCAAACTATCCCCAATCTATAACACACATGCATAGGCCAAACCTGAGAAGTGTTTAGGAGAAATCATTATGACGGAGCCAACCCTGCTTCCCAACCTATCATCTAAAGGGGAGAAAACAACTGTTTTCTCCTGAATTGTTCCTGTTGCAAGAAGCTATTTCCTTCTATGTATAGAAGAAACAATATCTAGCTTTTGCTGTTTCATCAGAGAAGAAAAAACCCTATTGAAGAGGAATCAGTGTTGCTTATATTCTAATCTATTTTATGAATCAAGACAAATATAGAAGTGTAGGAACTACCAAGACAAATTCCACAGAAGCTCCTTGAATTTTTTTTAAATTAAAAAACCCAGACAATAAGACTTTTATGTAATGCAAAGACATATACATTTATCCCTTTTATTCTAATAGAAACAAGAAAGAAAACTCTCTTTTGTATCCCACCACATCTTCACTAAATTATTTCACTAAAATACTTCTGTGTAGGACTGGGTTATTCTTATCCTAACTAAACACCCTTCCTATTGAAATTTTACACACTACAGTTCATTTCTTCTCTCTCCATTCCATTCCATTCTGTATATTCAGCTTTTCAACTACTTAAACTACAGCATATGGGTATTCAAATAAATGAGAAAATATTTCTACCACAAAGAGAAGCGAGATAAATACATAACTCTAGTGTGTTATAAAAACATAAAATGAATACAGATTATTTCTGACACAGATGTTGCAATTGTTACTAATTGCTCAGTGCAGGAAAATGATTAAATGCCTTGTCATTTAAAAATATAGGTAACTAAAAAGACTAGGTTTCTTCAATATTAGGTCACTAAAGTTGTTACTCGGATCTTATATATAGTACCCATGGTGTATATGTTTTAAAATAGGACACCATAAAATATTCAGATGATAACATCCTCTTAATTCAGTTTGCATTGAAGGTAAACTTTGTGCTATGAAAACAGAATGTGAAGAAAATGTTTAAACTATATGAGCAGAAGCATTTAAAATGCCTTCTGTACAAAAGAATCTCTTGAAATATTCACATCAATAATTTTATCCAAGCCAGGAGTCTCTCATTGCTAAAACTATTTGAATATAGTTGAATTAAGCCAGACTCAGTTAAACTATTCAGTACAACTTCATGGGATTTAACTGGAGTTTAAAAATGTGCATATCTTAAACTGCTCACACTACCATTTTACATGCAAGCAACTCTTTTATTTTGCTTCATTAACTTAAATAAAACTAGAATTCATGATTAAGAAATATTAGACAAAGGTACACTAAATTCTTACTTACCCTGTTTGGTGACACCAAAACTTTCATTTAAGTACAGAGAAAAGATTTTAAATAAGAAACATGGGTCAGTGTCAAGCATATAAAGAACCTCTACCATATTTTGTACCCTTTTGTAAATAATGAAGTTAAAACGAGCCATTCAGCTGGGTTTCTCCAGCAAAACACAAGGATAAATAAGGAAATATCTGATTAATATTGTATATTTACAAACTCCTAGGCCAAGAATAGGGTAAGAACACTCATTGCTATTATAGATTTACTTGAATTTCTAAGTAAATTCTTTACTTCAAAAAAATAAGACTGATACAAACATATCTCATGATCTTCTTATTGAGTAATTACAGATGGAAGTTCTGTCAAGTATGTTGGTGGCTCTAAAAAAAGTGGGGTGGAGAAAAGCAGAGAAAGAAGACACAAAGGTATGCCAACATGTCACATGTCAATATGGTAAGAAACTGATGGATGGTCATAATGCTCACTGAAATTTTTTGTTTTCCTCTGGGAAAGAAAATAAAGAAGAACTCTAATTGTAAATCAGTACTGTATAATAATTTAGCTAACTATCAACTCATATTAAGAATACTTAATTCTACTAAAGACCATGGCATTCACTTTATAGTTTCTGATTTTAGCTCCAATTAACAAAGTATAATATTCTTTTAGGTCATATTTCTCTCAGATCAAGAACTCTAACACTTCCAATTGCTCATAGATCTATAAGGACTTCCTTGCCATTTTAGACTATCATATCAGAATTTCTCACCAAAAACCAACTCAGATGTAGTAAATTCCATTTTCTAACCTAAATAAATATGATAATGTTTCAATCACAGCAGTATAAGCATTTCAGAGACAGAATCTTTGCATACATTTCACAAACACAGCATTGCTTCATATCGGTTTTTGCACACAAAATTAAATTCACTACCACCACAACCATGCATGCTGCCCAGAATGTAATATCTCTTCAGATGCTCATTGATTTCTCAAAATTTACTGAGTACCTGTTATGTATCAGACCCTAGGGCAAACACTCTCTTGTCAACTTCAGAGAGACCTAACTATACTTTCCAAGTCTCTCCTTGCCCCCTTCCTCTCTCTCTCTCTGAAACAAATGTTCCTGCCAGTAAGTTAGAGAACTGGCCTTACTAAACTCTTTTCTCCTATTTTAATGGGAAACTTTTGGAATGTACTTATTGCAAATGTACTAATCATTAAATTTAGATTAGGATTCCTTTCTCCACCCACCTCGCAACTATTTGATCTGACTTGCCTTCAAAATGATAGAAAACAGAAATGTATTATGCAGTTTCATCTTATGTTTCTCATCATGAAGCTGGCAGCACATCAAAATAAATTAAGTAATTGAGAAGAAAATCTACATATAAATAAAATAATATGCTCATTTAATAAGTATGATAGAAATTTTCTTTTTCTAAAATAAACTCTATTGTGTATTTGAGGTTTACAATATGATGTTATGGGATGCATATAGATGGTAAAAGGAAGCAGATTAACATATATACCATCTTTTTGTGAGAAGAGCAACTGAAATTTACTTTTTTAACAAAATCTCTAATACAATGCAATTTTATTAACTACAGTCTTAATTTTGTATATTAGATCCCCAGAAAAAAAATTGTCTACTAAATGGGAATTCTTTAATTTCAAAAAATATGCAAAATGGGAGTTGAAATTATTTTGTTTCCTTTTTCTGAAAGTAATAGTCTCACAATTAAGCAACTATTATTATTCTTTAAATAAGTTCGCGACAACTTGCAAATGGTTTTATTGAATTTTTTTTTAGACAGGTTGTTGATCTGTTACCCAGGCTAGAGTGCAGGGGTACCATTACAGGCAGCCTCAAACTCTTGAGTTTGAGCAATCCTCCTGCCTCAGCCTCCCAAAGTGCTGGGATTACAGTGTGTACCGCTGCACCTGGCTGGATTTCTTAATATCAGTTTGAAGGAGAGAGAAATGTTAATTACCCAGGGCTTTCAAGTTAAAATTTTCTGCTGACATTTCCTATACATACAATCTAAATTTTATTCTGTCAGTATAATTTCTTCCCATACTTTTAACATCTCATAGCAGGGAGAGGTGGGGTATAAAACCTATCTACTATTAATATATGCAGATAAATTTTTCCCTGCCCTATCACCCAAATATTTGTCACTAACTCCTTGCATCTCACCAAATCCTACTTGCCCCCTCTTAGTTTATTCTTCCTCTGAAATTACCTCTTCATCCCCATTTCCTGTCACCACCTCCACCCACCACACACGTTATTAGAGAATCTCAACAGAGATTATTGCAAACCAGAAAAGTTTCTTTGCGGTGTATAGTAAGGGGGTTGGGGGGTACACCTGTGCTACTGTGAGAGGAGGTATCTCATTCCGAAATGGAGATGTGCTCTATTTCATAGGAACAGAGCAACCCAATGGTGTAATTGACATTTCAAGCTCTTAGATGAAGCTCTTAGTCTTATAAAAGACTGCTCTATTCTAGAATTTTACTCAAAAGGCAATATAACTTTTGTTTGGATTTCAAGAATCAAACCACAGAACTCTACAGGGTGTATGCATAATCTTTTCTATGTTTATATGAATGTATTTTAACAGCTTGACTTGAATATAACAGTACCATGGTTAATAGGCTTTTTTTAATGACATTTCACACAAAGCTTTATTGCTAGCTGACCTCAAATTATTCACAAGTATTTTTAAGTACTTCATAACAAAGTTTTGTAGACAGAGCACAAGTCTTCCAGTCATACTGTTACCAGACACAAAACATAGTTGCTAAGATGCATAGGCAGCTGGTTAAAGTTCACGTTCTCTTTGGGGAATTTTACAATTTAAGTTTAAGAGCTTTTAATTAAACGTAAATGTACACCAATCTACTCAGCAGAGATATATTAGGATCACATTTCTTTTTTAAAATGGATTTTATTTTAATGTGTAACAAAAAGATTTTGTTTTCCTATTTAAAAAATACAATAGACAGCCGTCCCGAAGTGCAGCATAGTGAAAATGATGATTATACTATATTCCAATATACTCTCCAGAAATATACATTACCTTTTCACTCTCTCATCTTAGAAAAAACAAAACCTCCAGAAACCTACTATGTGAAGCATATGGCCAAAGTAAGTAAACTAGCCTTGTGAGACACCAGGGAGACTGTACTACAAGGTAAAAAGATAAAATCACTAAAAGCCACTCATGGTACTTACTGTGTACTGGTTATACATGTGTATAAACAAGTTTGGGTATACCACAGTGACACCGTATATCAACTTTTCATAGACATAGATACTGAAATACAATTAAACTTTTCCTCTCACTCCAGAGATTCCTTCCTTCTAGTTTAAAATCTCCTTTTTAATACTTACATTATTTATGGAGAAGCAAAAGCTGTATACATTACCCAATCATTCTAGCAGTTACTTAGAAGGTCCACCAGAATTTATTTTCCTCCAAAGGATCAAATCACTCTTTTTAAAAATAATTATATCCATCTTCTTGTCAATGGATGTGTGTTTCCCTCCTGATTCACACTCAAAAAGTCTAAATACTGGCACTCTCTCTCTAAGGAACACGATTTTTAATGTAATCAAATGAGCTCTCAGATGACCACATGATGCCCCAGGATGAAGGAATATTCTTATATTTTGTATCACCTCAATTAGGTTGTAAAAAAAGTTCAAATACTTCTATAGAAATGAAAAAATAGTTTCTACTAAAACGCATCACCACTCCCTCATCCATCCCACCCTCACCAACCTGGGCCCCATTCTTGGAGCTATTCGCTTAACAAAGCCACTTAAAAACTAACATTTTTGTACATGAAACACTGACCTCAATGAAAAGTAATGTTATACATTTTCTAAAGTGACAAAAATAGGCAATGTCTTTTTTAAAGCATAAATTTTTCAGCTTTACCTCATTAAAATGGAACCTCAGCCAGCATTTCTTTCTCCTTTTCTTTTATTCCTATTGCTCCTCTCACTAGGCATGTCTCTCCCCTTAGCTACGCCCCTCACCCACCAAAAAAGTTCTGAACACTGTCTGGACCTGTGAGTACATTTTTTATTCATTGCACAAATGAACGATCTAAGAGCTATTAAGAAAGAAGAATGTAATCCCTGTGTAGAGAACTGGGGGTTTCCTTGACAACAACAAAAAGACAGCAGGGAATGTCCATTCATTCTATAAATATGCAAGAAGCTAGGCTCAATACCTGGGGAAATGTATCAAGAATTTGTAAAATGATGTTTATGAGAAAAAAATTAAATTGGTAGTTATCAAAATCATAAGCCCAACTTTCACAACTGAGGAAAAGCAAAAAGCTAATAAATTCTACTCTTAGGTCCTATAGAGCCAATACTATATTTAAATTTTAAGTAAGGGCTGCAGCTGCTTCTGATTTGCACCCAAAATGGCACCACCCAAAAAAACACAACCTATGTCGGGTTCGGATTTTTAAGAAGTTATTTCAGTTAAGCAGACACTAAAGTACAATTATACTTGGCTTCTTGTGGCATAAATGATCTTGAATTTTAAGATCATTTGGCTTTTACCTATTTAGAACAAAACAGTCTATATTTTCCTGTACTTAGAAGTTGGAAATGAAATAATTTTTAAAGCCCACAGGAGATTAATTTGTACTAAGTCATTACTATGTATCAGGCATTGTGCTTGGTGCTTTCTAGTCACTGAAGGAGTATTAAATATGTGAAATGCCTGTCACAGTGACTTGCATGTGGCAATCACTCAAAGATCCCCTTCTTTAACCAATGTGGTGAGGTTGTAGTATTATTATAAATTTTTAATTATATAACAACTGAGGCCTGTGGAGGTTAAGTAATTTATACAAGACCAAACAGACTGTAAATATAGTTATCCCTCAGTAGCCATGGGGGATTGGTTCTAGGAGGATACAAAAATCCATGGTACTCAAGTCCTTTTTTATAGAATGGCATAGTATTTGCAGGAATCCTACGCATACATTCATATACATATACTTTAAATCAGGTATTATAAGTAATCATTTAAATTACTTATAATAACTAATACAATGTAAATGCTATATAGTTATTATAGTGTGTTGGGTTTTTATTTGTGTTATTTTTTATTGCTGTATTGTTCTTTTTTATTGTGGTGCTTTTTTTTTTTTTTTCAAATATTCTTTATCCATGTTTGGTCAAATCAGAGGATGCAGAATTGTGGATACAGAGTGCCTCCTGTAACAATGTTGACAGTGAACCCAGGTCTCTTTCCAAAGGCTCTTTCTATCACAATAACTGCCTCTTCCATGTATCCTACAAAGCAAACTAACTACATCTCCATGTTGGTTCAGAATATTAACCAGAATGTACTTCAAAAAAATCCAGTTCTAATGTAGTTAGTATATTGTAATTATTTGACTGTTGAATAAATTAGAAAAAATATATCTGTATATTACCTGTATATATGTGTGTATACATATATGTGTGTGTGTGTGTGTGTGTGTGTGTGTGTGTGTGTATCTTTGTTTCATAAACCCTGTGATTTGGAGAAAGAGTATGTGTCAGAGCTTAGGAAATATCATTCCATATAATAATAGCCATTTTACCATGTTAAAAATTCTGACAGAGAAATTGAGAAATCCCTGGGTCCACATTGCACATAAGCAAAGGAGAGACTGACTCCAGATTCCCTAACTTAGAGCACCTGCTCTATAATCCTACTGATTCAGTATTCACTTGAATTAAGATGTCATAAACCTTTAAATCACCTTTTAGAGTGTAGGCACTTTTTACAAAGTAGTTTTATGCCATTTAACTTTGTAAGTGTGTAATTCTGAACCATGATACTTCATGGGAGTATATTTTGAAAAGGTAAATGTACTTAACCCACAGAACATGCTGTCTTATCAAAATGTGTGAATCACTGAAGCTCAGAAAAGTGTGACAACACTGCTTCCTCAAGAAGCTGGCAGAGTATCTCGGGTTTTCATGAACTGTACTAGTTTCTGCGTGAGGCCTAAGAAGGTATTCAGCTTCTGAAGCAGGCCATGTCAAACAGCACTGGGATGACATGGCCTCCTTCAGAAGCTGTTTAGAAACTCTATTTAGAAAAACAGCTGTTTATACTTGGGGCTCCTTAACCCCACTGGTGAGCCTAAGTTGGGAAGCAATTGGCTAATAACTGGCCTCTCATAATTGGATTGTAATCTATCCCTCCAACAGAGACTGACGTAAGTCTCCTCTTTCTCATGAAATATTCTGTAACTTCCTGCCTTTCTTGATTCCTTCTTTTTCTGACCTCACCTACCATTCACAATCTGTCACACCATACACCTACTGTGTAACTATATGTTTAGTATGACAACTGTATTTGATTGTGTTAATGTTAGCTGGCCAATATGCCTTTGGAGCACAGCCTATGGTTTATGTTTCTTTTATGACCACCTTTAATATCTGTCAAACGACTAGACATGCTATAGCTTTACCCGAAGGTAATTTGATTGACTGTGCTCTGCTAGAAGATGGTGTATGGGTCTCTCTCGAGGTAACTGCCAATAAATGATAAGTGGTATTTGTTTTAGATAATGCCTCTACCTCAGTGGTAGCTTTGATAATGGCAAATTGTAATTGCAAGTGCCATTTTCAGAATAGGCATTGGTTTATTTTAGGAAGAGGATAATAAAGTTCCTTTTAGTTATCAAAGTAACACCTTTTATTGTTAAATCTCAACTTTTGAAGAAAACACTTTCAATTTCTTAACTTTTTCCTCAGGGTTAGTGAGTTAGTACAACTACCCAAAGAAGTGTTAAAATATTGAGATTCTATATGTGTGTGTTTATATGTGCATCTATGTATTACGTATACAAAATATTTCACCTCAAAGGACTTTTTGAAAAGGTAATCTTTGGTCTATAGTACAGTGTTAAGCTCACTGATAATTTAGAATCATTAAGTTCGTTTATTTTCTTAACACTACAGAAAGGAAAGGAAGACAAACATTCTCTTCCCTTTTATTTGACTAATAGAAGAGGAACTCAATTCTTTTCTAGACTTGGGACAGTCCGTGAGAGATGGGGGAAGCCATTCTAATTATCTGCAGAAAAATGTGCTTCTCTGACAGACAGCCACAGCTGGAGCTCAGGAAAAGGAACCACGGAGGTGTGCAGGCACCAGACCCATCCACTTTCAGAGATGTGCTCCAAAACTCTACAGGAAAGAAGCTGCCCAGAACTGCAGAATAACGTACTACCAATTTCAGCACACTCTTTCCTTGCTATGTCAGGTATCTGAAGAGCATGCATACTGCCCCATATTAGCAGCAACCAAATCTAAATTATATACTCTTAACAAACCACTAGAATGCCAATGAGAAACCAGTCTTCCCAGAGTTTGCTCTTTCAGGAATTGACAGACAGGGCAGTACCTAAGCCATTGGGCAGGGGGTTGTTGTTTTCTCAGAGCTCATCAGGAGAGAGAATCACTTCATGGCAAAAATGCTCCAAAGAGGGCCAGGGCTGCTAGACCCAATGCCAAGAATGTCAGACTCAGTGTACCTTCGTTTGACTATCTGCTTTCCCTAGTTGTCTCACAAATTATCTTTGAAGTTTAAACATGATAATATATAGAAAAAGTGGTCTGAAAGTATGAAGCCCGAAGTGTGAGTTTGATGATGACTTAGTTTTGCACATACATGTGAGACTCTGACATACCATTATATATTATCTTGATGACACATAGGCATCAATAAGATTGAAACAATATTTGTTTAATGTGTTTTATTCAGCACCATGCATAGTGCTATTCAAAGGTAAATGTTAAATGTGTATCATTGTAATGAGATAAAGATATAGATAATCAGACCAATTTTTGAAACATTTTTACTTTTAAGAACTTAATTCTCTCAGGAATGAGTAACTGTTTTTGCTTTATTTTGAATGGTCTAGATATCATTCTTTTTCTAGCTGTGTTGTGAGGTACATGTTATTTTAAAAACCACCACAGGAGATGAGGAGGTCCCAAGGGAGTGAGGTTCTCGATGTCCCCCTCAAACATTAACCAACACAGCTACTCTTTTGTCTGTTCAAGATACAGGGGCTCTCAATAACATTTTGTTTGAAGAAAGGACCTGGATCTTATAATAACAAATCAGAAAGTAATTTTTCTATAATTAAAATGTTCTTTAAAATTCTGTAAGAACAGAAAATGTGTGATTTTAAAAAATTATATGAGATTATCTTAAATAAACATTACCTTTTAAAAAGTGATGACTTGGCTGGGCGCAGTGGCTCATGCCTGTAATCCCAACACTTTGGGAGGCCGTGGCAGGTGGATCATGAGGTCAGGAGTTCAAGCCCAGCCTGGCCAAGATGGTGAAACCCTGTCTCTACTAAAAATACAAAAATTCGCCAGGCATGGTGGCAGGCGCCTGTAATCCCAGCTACTCGGGAGGCTGAGGCAGGAGAATCGCTTGAACCCAGGAGGCAGAGATTGCAGTGAGCCGAGATCACTCCACTGTACTCCAGCCTGGGCAACAGAGCAAGACTCCGTCGCAAAAAAAAAAAAGTGATGACTCTGCAATCAATGATGTAAATATGGGTATCTGCCCAGATGGCTCCTGCCCTCAGAGCCAATGTTCCTTGTTCTTTATCCTCTCCATAACACCATATTTAGACAATAAGCCTTTAGCTTTTTGTATATTTCTCAAAATGTAATTAATCTTTAATAGCATTACATTAATAATTTTACCAACATCTTAATCTTTCTATCATTTAATTTAATATTGCTTTTCACCTGCACACATACATTTGGGTAGATACAAATTACAAAACCAGTAGGAAAAAGAACACCTAACAAGACAGCATCAAGCAGGCCTGACACATAATAAGTAGTATATATGAATTTGTTTGTTAAAAAAGGTAATAAGCTGCCTATTTTAAGGTTATAACTAAGAGCATTTGCATAATAATGTTGGTATTTAATATCCATACATTTCTAAATTATTCTTTGATTTAAAAATACCTGTTTGTCAGTTTTTAAAAACATTCACAGTTCTGTTCCACTACCTTGTAACATTTCAGGTGATTTAGAGGAGTGCTCTTTTAAAAAAAATCTGGAGTTGAAGAAACTCTTCCTACAGCTTCAAATTCTGGCCTTCATGCATGTTCACAAAGAAAGCCTTTCAATAATTTTTCAAAATGCAGGTGTGCAAATTACTCCTGAAATAGACAGGAGTAAAGTTTTCAGTATCCCCTGAACCACTGTTAAACACACCCCATAGCATTTTTCAGCTCATAAAACTTTTATGAGCTGAAAAGTTCTTTCAGATTTTTTTAACTGCTAACTACAGTTGCCCTCTAGCTAGAGCACCGTAAGTTGCTATTAAGATCCATTTGAGCAAGTATAACATAAGTGTGTCCTGAGTAGCATGTTTTGTTTCATAGTAGTAAAAAAAAAAAAAAAAACAAGATTTATATGACTCGCTGAGTGCAGCAAAAAATTATTGAATGCCTTGGTTTAGAATAGCATGGGTGGTATTTTTGCTTACTTGGATATACAGTATATATAAAGGTGTATTCTATTCCTGTGAATAGATTTATACAAGTTCACACATGCACCAAGGACTTTCCAGTCTGGAAAATTGTGCCTTGATACATAAAAAGGTTGGTTCTCCAGGCACATATGCACTTTTCCTTATTAAGGTATACACCTGCCTTGAAATTCATTAATTGAACATCTGCTTTAGGATTTTCCCTTGCCAAAGCTCAAAATGTTGGAGGATAAAATTTCTCATAGAAAATAAATAATATTAGTATAGGTGAGCAGTTAGAGGTGAGTAAACTTCATTGTCTTATGAAGACAATAAACAATGCTTTTAGTTAAGGAGAACAGCATATACAGAACACACAAAAATACAGATGATGACAGGTAGGTAGGTAGGTAGGTAGGTAGGTAGGTAGGTAGGTAGGTAGGTACGCAGGTAGGTAGGTAGGAAGGTAGGTAGGTAGGTAGATACATAATTATTCCACAGATACATCCCCTTGTTGTACACACATATACACACTCTCACATTAGAATTCTGCCTGATGGAAGTAACCAAGTATTGCACGGTTTTCTGACCTAATATTATTATGCAAAACAAAATTAATTTCAAGGTGGATTATAGTCTCACATTTTAGAAGCAGAAGGAGAAGAAACACCTATATACGTCTCCCAGGTCTAGCTGAATCAAGTCCACAACTCACTTATAAATGTACACCTTTGTATAAATTGTTTCAGGTTTAGCTTACTCAGACCCTCCACTTCCAGCAACCATTTATAACTTAGTTCTTTTTTTTTGATGACTGCCAATTCTTTCAGAGAGATCAAGTTTCACTTTTTCCATTTTGTAATTTGACTTCCTAACTGGCAGTTTCCCACTTGGAAGAGTTTTTAAATGCAGAACATTTTTACTGGGTTTTATATTATTCAACTCAACTTATTAGCTACACTAACAGAGTAGTATCAATTGAAAAACAATCTGCATATCCATTCAAGCATTTTTTTAAATTATGAAACTAAGTGTTGGTAGTCATTTACTTTTTGCTTCCTTTTACCTCTTTTTTGTTTTTCTTTCACCGTTATATTCCTGTCTCTTTTCCAGCCTAACGCAATCCTCATTCCGACTTACTGGCAATTCATTTTCTTTTTCCTACACCAGTTCCGAGAGATGGAAAAGGATGTAGAAAAGAGGAAATATGTTATGATTTCCAAGAAACAATATCATTAGCAAGAAAATCATGATCAAATCCTGTCCTTTTTAAACTGCATTGGGAAGTGGAGGTTAATTTTAATACTCTGTGGGTGTGTTCTCTTCTCTACTATTCACTGACAAGCAAAAGCTTTCACACAGAAAATTCTGGAGAGTAGAAACCTATAGAAGCCATGAAGTGTCCACCAACAGCACTACATGCAAACATACTTGACAATAACGCTACTTGTTTGTTTCCAATAGGTGCACTCCTGAGCACTCTAATGAGGATAGCATCAGTCTTCAGAAAAATGATACTCGAAAGGGAATATTCCAACAGTAAGAGAGAACCCTGCTTAAAAAAAAAAAAAAAAATCTTCTATCCTGTCTTCTCAGAGCCAGGTCAAGAAAACAACGAATACTCATTCATTTAATTCTTATATGAAAATGAAAATATAGCAAATTAACTAAAATCCATGATCGTAATTTCTAAACTAGAAAGAGACAAACCTGAATTGATTTATTGAACTGCATTTGCTATATATTCTCAACTCAGCTTATCAAATGTAAAAGATGGTGTGGGCTCACCTTTAGACAGCAATAAATCGTATTTGATCATGACAACTCCAAGTATTAATCAATGTAAACAAACAGCTTTTAAGAGTTCTGTCAGAGAGCTAAAATATTTGAGTGGAATAGAAGGCATCACAAATATTCCTAGCGGTAAAACAATTAAATCATAAAATGAACAACACTACAGCCTGGTTTTTAGGAAGCAAGGATAATGAATATATAGCCACCTTCTGAAATTATATTTAATACAATAAACTGTAATACTCCCTACAACTAAGCTAGGTTGTACTTGCTCTAAATAGATAAAACCACAGTAAAATACCCCAAAACAATAGCATAAGAATATGTTGCATTTACATTAAAATAACACTTACATTAGAGACCTATTACCCACCACACAAGTCATATAATAAACCTGTAAAATCCTGGAAGAGAAAAACCAAAGCAAACCTTTAAATATCTTTCTGTCAACCTTAGGGATATGCAAAACGATTTTAGCCGTCCACATTGTAAGTACTGAAGGTTAATAGTTAAAGACCAATGGAATGTTAACACAGTCTAGTGCTACACTTGAGTAGTAATGTATGAAAAGACACTGAAATTAAAACACTTTGTTCTGCATGTTTTGAAGTGATGTAACAGTGATGATTTGGTTATATTAGATGACAAAGCAGGGCTTCTTATGACTTTTAACATAAAATTGTATCTAACATTCTTCCACATTGTTTAACATATTCTTCCAATTCTTGTACAAATATATGAAGCTAAAACATTTATTTTTCACACTCCAGTTATCTTCTAATAGCAGCATTTGGTATGTTGACTTTTTTTCCCCAAAAGTAACTTTCAAGATAAAATGAGGATTGCCTTCAATGCTAGTCTAGAAAGCAAAGACTTACCTGTCTTATTTTCTCTGACCTCAATAATATAAACATTAATGTCAGGGTGAAATTTTGTGCTTGCTGGGGGCTGTGGCGTAGAAAGCGCCTGAGGTCCAAAGGCCTCTTTGTCTTCCACAGTGGGTGGTCTTGTTGGCTGTGTAGCAGGAGGACTTGAAGTCGTGAAATACTCTCTATCAATATCGGTTTCTGTTTCCTTGGCTACAATATCTTCAAGGGTAGTGGGAGGAACATGAGATGTTGATTCTCCAATGATTACCATGTCACTGGTTGTTTCTTCACCAGGTTCCCTGTCGATGAGAGGTGGTTTCTTAGTGATCGCGGAAGATGGCTTGAATGCTGAAGTTGTGTGAAGTCTGTCTACTGAACTGAAGGCAGTGGTAATATCACTTGGAACTGTGACTTTGATTGTTGAAAATTCTATGAGTTCTGTGGCTTTGGGCTTTTCAAATAATCCTGAGCCTAAATCAATATCCTCTAGGGATGTTTTCTCAGTAGTGGTTTCTTCCATAAGCTGGGTAATGTGGGTACTAAAAGGACTCAAAGATGATGTAAATCCTGTTGTACTACTACCTTCTGTTTCATATTTTTGTTCAGGCCCTGGACTTAAAGATACTTTTGGCCCAATGCGTGGTGTTAGTGTTACCACTTCATCTGTTTTCACTTTGTGCTCAGTTACAGCACCTGGTGGATAAGACACACTGTGATCAATTTTTCCAACTGGAGTTGTTTCTAAAACTGGGACCCTCTCAGAACCTGTCAACAATTCATCTTCAGAGACTGTATATGCTGATCCATCGCCCTCTTGTTCATCCAGTGGTGTTACTGCCTCCTTGGGAGTCCAAGCTGTAGAACTGAGAGCAGGAACTGGTTTCTCTGCAGTCTGTTCTTTCCAAGGGAATTCTTCCTGAGTTGTTCCCTCTGTGATTTTTGTTGTTCTCATAGTTTCTGGAGAAATAGTCGCTTCAAGGCGAGTCTGATCAATGACAAGTATGTCTTGAGAGGGTTCACCTAGAACTTCATCTTCTGATGGAACAGAAGGTACTAACACTCCCCAGTCTGTCTTGGGAATTACAGAAAGAGGAATGGTATGGGAAGAGTCTACATAAGTAGTAGGCTCTTGGGTGCTACTATAACTAACAAATGCTAATCCTTCCACCTCTGAAGTGTGTGCAAATTGGGGAACAGTAGATACTGGCTTAGAGAGGTCCACATCTTCTACTTCACCCAAAGCACTTCCTTCCATGGTTGCATAAACTTGGCCTTCAGTGCTTGTGATAGGTGGAACTTTTTCTTCAGTTGTAGAATCTCTCAAAGTTGACTTTTCTGCAATACCAGTTGATGTAGTTGGCTGAAATCTAATTGTGAATTTTCCATGGGCTGCTATGTCTTCATCAGTAACCTCCTCTAACTGCTTTTGAGTACTATCTGGAATAAGAGTAAATTCATCTGCTCCATCTTCAGTGAAACTTGGGATGTCTTTATCCTTTCCATTCATCCCCACAGTTGTGAGTAAGGCAGGGGGCAATTTTGAAGAGGCTGAAGGTTCTGTAGACTCTAAAGGCTTGGATGTTGTATTATCTTCATCCCATGACCATTTTGATACAGTGGCTGCTTCAACACTTAAAGTACCATGGGCCAAAAGCACTGTTGTAATATTTTCATCATATTTTGTAGTACCTGGAGTTGCTGTAAAGTCTTCCTCCATATCTCTTACTTCTGTTGGCTCTGCACTTAACTTTGTTATCAATGTTGGGAAATCAAAAGACTTGGTCATTTCCACAGAAGACTCTGTAACATGAATTGGCTCTGAGAGAGATGTAGAGAGTTTCATCCCAGAGAAGACTTCTTCTTCTGTTTTTCCCATAAATGGACTTTTAGTGATCTCTTCTTGTATTTCATCTGTATAAGTATCTGTTCTCATCTCTGGTATTAGTGTTTCTGTTCTTTCTCTTCTATGTGTCATTTCTGTTTGTAGAGAAGGATAAATAACTGTGGAAATTCCCTCTACTAATATTTTATCACCAGAATAAGGAAACAATTCTATTTCTGTACGATGCTGTGATGGAAAAGGTGTAGTAGACAGATATTTGCCAAGAAACTCTTCCGTTATCCTACCACTAGTTTGTCTCTCTTCCCAGTCATCCATGGATGATCCATTATTATCAGGCATAATTAAAGGGGAAACAGTTGTGGATGCTGAGACTGACTCCAAGTCTTCTAAATGAGTGTGGATGGTGTCTTCTGAAGTCTTTGACACCGTAATGACTTCAGGAATTTGGTCAAAGATCAAGGTGCTCTCATCAGATCCAACTGTAAGTGTTCTGTCTTCATCATCCTCTTCTCCCAAGGTGAATCCATAGTGACCTGTGGTTACCAATTCAGAAACAGTGCTTACCATTTTCTTTTCAGTTTTGGATTCCAGGATCATTCTTGCAGTTACCAATGGTGTTTCAGTTACAGGGAATTCCTTGGAAGGAATGTGCTTTAAGATTTCCATAGATGTTACCAAAGGACCCACTTCTATTTGTTCAATCTGTGTAACCGATTCTTGTGTTTGTTTATCTTCCACGACACCATCCCATGAATCCGTAGCATAATGAGAGACGCCAGTTGTACTCTGGAGCACTTCTTCCTTAATTTCTGATATGTCTAGCTTTCCAAGAGGTCCTGAAGCAGAAGGTGAGTAGTCATCCATATCCCAGGGCTTCTTGGTACTGCCAGTAGGTGTGGGTAATTTGGTGGCTAAACTATCTGTGATAGCCTGAGGTTGGACTGTGGCTTTCTGTTCAAAACTGACAATATTTCCCACGGGAGGGAACTCTGTTGGAATGACAGGTAATTCATCAACTAAAGGGATGATTGGTGTAGTTCTATCAGAAACCATTTGTGGTTCTTTGGATAAACTGGGTGATGCAGTTTCTGCGAGGATACTCAAATCGATGGTTGTAGCCTCTTTAGCTAGAAAAATAATTTCAAAGAGTTGATTAGACAAGTCACTAATAAAAACTTGTATGCCCAGTGTTTGTTAAGTGCTCCTGAGTATTTTGTAGGGAGTATTTTTGGGTGGCCCAGAAATGTTCTGTGATGGAGAGGAGTCTTAAAACTATACTTGAATTAACCCAAGGACAGATAATTGAACACTTAATAGTCATAAATTGATCAGTTGTTTTACGTTATAAGGGTTATCACTGCTTTTACCTAAAAGTATGCATGACTGTTACCAGTTGAGGAAAATTAATATTATGTAGTTTTAAGATAAGGAAAAGCTCCCAAAAATATAAATGCAGATTTTAGATACAGTAGATTGTTTATTTACCAGAAACTACAGCGTCAACTTGAAGCCTCGCAGGAGAATTTAGTACTATTCTTCTGGAGGCTTCTGTACCCTGTCTCCAGCTTTCTCCACATGCTCCCTTCTTTTCAAGTTGCTGCATATTATCTCAGGGGAGAGGGTGTGTCTCAGATTGCAAAACAACAAAAAAGCCACATGAAATGTATCCAAGTTACATATAAACCATTACATTGTCCATAATGTGGAGACTTTCATAAAAACAGGATATTAAAACTTTTTAATACCACTCTTCACTTGATCCCAGGTGTTGGACATTTGTCTTCATCCTTCTTTCAACTTCATGGTGTAGATTTGTTTCTAATAAATTATAAAATGTGCCTGGCAGAGGCTAGTCGGCATTTGTTGTAGTTCTACATTTTGTTCTATGTTCTACACACTCTGTTTGTATCTCCTAAGGATCTTGTTTCCAGGCTTACTTTAGCCTGAAACACAAATGTAGAACAGGAAGTAAAGTACCCACATAATGTATTTTAGGTCTGTAATTACAAATCACTGGGAACAACCCTAAGCATCAGAAAGAACAGGCTCAGGCAATATAAAGTAACCTGTCATCATAAAATGCTGCATTATAATGGCTCCAGATTTACAGAGAATGGCCTGGCCTGTTGAAAGAAATTTAAATTGTGTATAAAAGCAACAGTTTGTAAACAAGATTCTTTCTCAACACAGGGAAAAGGCAGCAGCCTACTATATAATGATTGTTTTTTTAAAATAAAAATCAGTATTTTTAAAAATAAAAACCTATTAATAGTTGCCACTGAACTCAAAAGAACTGTCCTGAAGAAACCTGTAGTTATTGTTTTGCTACATCCTATAGGACTTAAAGCTAGTTTTATGAGTAAATGCTTGTTTGCCCTGAAAAGAGGTGTAATAGCCATAGTATCTATAGTATCTTCTTTTTTATTTTTAATAATTCCAGAACAGGAGCCCTCAAAAAACAAAACAGGCTACCTTTTAGCTCCATTTGCTCTGTAAAAACTTAATCATAAAATGATGTGATTTTATTGTAAATCAGACTAGGGCTGTAACAGGTTCCTTATTTTTTGTCTGGCACGAGCTGTTATTAGTTGTGGTCATTCCCCAGACCATTTTAAAGCTCAGCTTCACTGATTTTATCATGAACATTTGAGGGCTATTTACATTATGATACATTTAAATATTCTTTAAAGTCTGTCATTATTTATCTTTCTAATATTAAAACAAAACTAACCAAAAAAGAGTTGGAGTTTAAAAACATTAAATAACCTTTTCCTCCCCTTTTTAAAGAAAAGCTTTTTCTACATTCATTTCCTGGAAGAAGCGTTGTTCTATTTTGATTGACATGAACAACTTAAAAACCCAAAATGTGGATGACTATTTTAATTCAATTCTCTATCCTCTGAAATTCCATAACCATTACTTCATTTAACTGCCAAATTTCATGTTTGTCTTATAACTGCATTCTTTGGGGAAATAGTAAAAAGATACATACAGAAAAAGTTCCCATGGAAACATAATATAAATACTTAGCAAACAGCATATTAGAGAAAATTTAATCATATTATTATTAATAACAACAAAAAAGCTAAATTTACTTTTTCCCTCTGAGTATTTCCTTGGCTGATGAAATTAACTTAGAAACAGGTACAATTGCATTAGGGCCAAAGGGGCTGTGAATCCAGGCTTCCTATGTTCCAATCCAAGCTCTCTGCTAGCAACTTTCTACAATGCTATGAAAATATGTTTATAGTGTTTTAAAAGTTGACTCATATTTTTAAAACTAAATAACTAGATTTCATTGTCAATTATTACTATGGAGTTTGCTGTTGCATTCCTTCCTCTAGTCCTGCTGTGTAATAAAGTGGTAGCAATATGTCCTAGAGAATCTGTTCTAGAAAGCCAGTATTTATGTGACTTTGTTTCCAAAAACAAGGGTTTTCAATAATTTTAGAGCCCTATTTTAAAAAAGAAAAGGTCTGCTTATAATTAAGTTAATTAATTCTACTACTTGGAATGGAAAACCTCAGACTTCCTTTTCAGTTTGGGTGGCTTTTTCATCAACTTAACAGCTGATTTTGATCACAAGTCAGTGTATCTGAGGATTTGTGCCATTTGTTTCAACCATTCCACAAAAGGAAATAATTTTATAAAGCACAATATCTACGAAGAGATATTTTAAGAATAAATACCACTGTATTCTGATGACTATTGTAAAGGTAAAAACAATTCCAGATTATTCTAACAGTGTCCTTCCAATAGGTGCATTCACATGGAGAAGTTTTGGCTCTGGAAAACTACCAGTATTCCTTCAACTTTATTATTGAGGAAGCCAACATAAATCAACACGATTCTTTTCCCACAAAAGTTCCTTTCCAACCTTTGCAGCTGTCTGCCCACAGATGTTTCACATCACTGTACTTATGGCATTTTTGTCCTATGGGCCATCTTCTCTGCTTCTGTTGCGAGACATGAGACAGATTTTCCTAATAAAACTTAAAACCCCCATTAGCAGCATGATAGTCAATTTAACTTATTCCCATGCTCTCTACATTATTGAGAAATGACTAATTTTAACTTGGTTCTTCTATATTAAATTTGTTATACATAACTAAATGTAAACATGGTTATAAAACTGTAAAGATTGGAGCAGTGAAATTACAATTCAAACTCTATATATATAATTTTTTTTTTTGAGACAGAGTCTTGCTCTGTAGTCCAGGCTGGAGTGCAGTGGCACAATCTTGTCTCACTGCAAGCTCCACCTCCCAGGTTCACGCCATTCTCCTGCCTCAGCCTCCCGACTGGGACTACAGGCTAGGGATAGGGTTAGGGTTAGGGTTAGGGTTTGGGTTAGGGACTGGGACTACAGGCGCCCGCCACCATGCCCGGCTAATTTTTTGTATTTTTAGTAGAGATGGGGTTTCACCGTGTTAGCCAGGATGGTCTCGATCTCCTGACCTCATGATCCGCCCACCTTGGCCTCCCAAAATGCTGGGATTACAGGCGTGAGCGACCGCGCCCGGCCAATTCAAACTATCTTTTTAAAGTTATATGAGTGATGGAATGCTAACAAATTCAAATTCAATAAACAGGAAACATTTGTAATATACCAATCGGGGAAAGGTTAGTTTTGGCACATGTGGTCAGATTATGAACTAGGGCACACACAAAAAAGATAATGAACTAACCAAAGGTTAGAAGGGCAGGCAAATTTTAACAGTGAATGAGTATATAAGATAGGATAGAAAGTGGTGGGAATTAATTTAGCCTTCTCTGGACCACCATCTTGATTTCTAAACTTAAGCATAAATAGAGGAATGTGCTAAACAATGATGAAACTTCAAAGCAAGAACATATCAATAATTAGAAATTTGGAGATTGAAACTGTAAAACAAGAAAACTGTTTCAGTTGGAGAAGATGCTGAGGGATAAATAAACAATTGTGATCAACAATAGAAATGGCTGTTATTCAGATTTTGGTCTCCAACTCAAAAATGAAAACATGGGTTCAAATTCAAATGCAAAGTACTTAATTAGAAAAATTATCTGAGAGTGAAGGTCATGGAATATTAGAATGAGTTTTCTAGGAAACATGTTCCATCTCCCTCTCCTGGAGATAATTAATCACATTCTGTGAGAGATTATCATGAGTTTTGAATGGTTTTGATTCACTTAAGTTTGGGGATGTATGAAATGATCTTTCAAAGCCTTGTATAACTCTCCAACTTTCACAGAACTTGCTAAATTCTGAAGTAAAAAACTAAATATGCAAAATTGTTTAATCATTAAGAGAAGATATACAGGAAAACTTTATCTTACAAAGACATTACTTTGCTTACTTTTCAAATTTATTTGAAAAGAATAAAGCCTAATTTTATGTCTTTTATCTGTCTTTGTGAATGTTTTAGTCAGTGACTTTGTGAGGCAAAGGGAATTAAAGCAAGGTACGATTTGGCATTGTTTATTCACCAAGTGACTTAAAAAACACTTTCTACGTTTGGTAGAAGCAAACAAGAAAAATATGGTTATATTTCTAAATTCCTCTACATAACCAGCCAGCTGTATATCTCTGAAATCACTTTGGAACTGTAGCTGAGGCCATGACTCTTATGAATTTTACCCTACAGAATTTAGTCACTACTTGACTATGTGGGAAAGGTGGACATCAATTAAGTCATTTTGAAAATATTTTTCAAATTCTTTAAAAATATATACTAGGCCAGGAGCAGTGGCTCACTCCTGTAATCCCAGCACTTTGGGAAGCCAAAATGGGTGGATCACCTGAGGTCAGGAGTTCGAGACCAACCTGACCAACATGATGAAACCCCATCTCTACTAAAAACACAAAATTAGCCGGGCACGGTGGCGCATGCCTATAACCCAGCTACTTGGGTGGCTGAGGCAGGAGAAGGCAGGAGAATCACTTGAACCTGGAAGGTGAAGCTTGCAGTGAGCTGAGATGGCACCATTGCACTCCAGCCTGGGCAACAAGAGCGAAACTCCACCTCAAAAAAAAAAAAAAATACACACACACACACACACACACATATACACTAAAAAATTTTTTGAAAAATAAATTAGAAATTTTGGAAAACTATTGGCATTATGTGTGGTTTAAGAAAGGCTTCTATATGGCTAAATGCTTTTAACCTTCTACGCACTAAATGAATTCTGAATATAATAACGTCTTAAGTAGGAAATAAATAAGAATCTAGCCACATGCTTAGGTGGGAAGGAAAGCAAAATAATGAGTCCATTATATTTACAAGTTACATACATGTAAATGAATTAGAGAGATAAAAATGAATATAAACTTTTAAACATTTTTTGAATTTTGTGCAGATTTTGGTTACTCTATTTAAACATAAGTACCTTGTTATTTCATGTGTATTTTTCAATTAAATAAATAATTTAAAACACATCAGGATGAATTCTTTAATAATAGTCTTTGTGGCTACAGACAGGCTTTGATTTAAATTTTACCCACAGAGAGACGAAAAATGTTGTTTAAAAGTTTTCCAGTGCCAGTTTTATTAATAAAGCACAAGAAAATATCAAATAAGGAAGTCAGGCTGGATAATTCTATTCGTTCCCTAATTTAACCTCTCCAATGCCTTCCCCACAGCATACCAATCTGATTTTGCTCCTTAATTATATCAGTCACGTAATGTAAAACTGATTTTAGAGCCTGAAGTACTTGAAAAATCATTGTTGTGACAATGTAGCTTAAAGGAATGTACATCTGTCTACTTTTAGAGATAAGGTTTATGCTATTGTTGTTTTCCTGAAAATGATTAAGGAAGAATTCTGTTGTTTCAGGGCCTGAGAACAAAAGCCAGCATTTTCTACAGTCTTTATGGAGCGACCAGCTTGTGGCAAGCTAATACAGAACACATGGCTTTAACACTCAGAAAGTTGAGTCTAAGGGAGGAGATCAGAGCAGAGGCTTCTTAGCTAGGAGATAAAAGTGTGAAAACAAACCTTTTGGTTGCATTAACATCCATTCTACTGACTACCTAGAACATCACAGTCTGTGTATTTTTGGTTGCTTAAAAATGCCTGTGTATTTCACTCTAGAAATCAATTATATAATAAGCTAGTACATTTTGTACTCGTTTTAGAGACATATTGCTATAACAAGATACATTGGAAATTTAGTCAAAGTTGTTTACAAATTTGTTTCAACATAACCTAACTCTGTCTTGGATATTACCCAAGGTCACCAAAATTCTGGGAGATCTTTGTTTAGCTAGCATAGTATAGATGGTTCAGTAAATATTCCAATGAGATGCTAGATTACTTGCTTGTTTAATTTGCATTCTACAACTATGATACTATATCATGTGACTACTACTGCTAAAATTACTTGAGGACATCTGGAAAATTAAAATAATTATATCATGAATGTTGAGAAATGTTATTTAAAAAAAAATGTTAATTAGTAAACCTAACTAAAGATACTCTGTTATAGGTTGCAAAGAACACATATTGTACGTCAATATGATACTACAGAATTAATGATTAGAAGGCATGTATTTCCATTACTTGACATAAATGGAGATTTTTATTGATAGTATGGTTCATTTTTAGTTATGACTTGAACATTTTGAGTATCCATGTCAGCTTCAAATACTCACCTGTAATTACTGAAATTTAAATTCTTTGCCATCTCAAAGAAACAGAGTGATACCGAAGACAAAATCAACAATCTTAAGGATTTAACTCAGCCTCAGTTGGCCTTGGCATTGTAACACCAATAAACAAATTGCAAAACTTAAGGACTGCAATTAATATAAAATACTTAGAAAAATGCTCTGTGGCTCTGGACACAACAGAGCACAGTTACAGCTTAACCTGATATTTCCTCACCCCTCTAAAAATCCATTTGCCAAAATTCCTGTGGTTTTAACCATATCACTGCTGTTCAGTTTGCTTGCTTTTGAAAATCACTGAACTGTTTCCATTCCGTGCACACACTGCAAGACATGGAATCCACTCCAACGGCTAGTTGAACATCAATGCATGCTTCGAAGCATTTTTTTTAAAACTGTAATTTTTAAAAAGGTATCAAACACTTACGTTTAAAGCAGTAGGCATCAAATCTGCTATCAGGGGGAGGGAAGCCTGTCTGGTTCTCAAAACGATACAGGGTTCTCACCCCAAGTAGACCACCTCCACACTGGGCCCTGGCCACAGTCACAGGGTGGCGCACGCTGGCATCCGACAGCCACCCGTAATCGCACTGGTCAAAGCCGTTCCTCCATGCCGCCTGGAGTTCCCCCACTGTTGCCAGCCTGGCATCCTGGTTTTCACACTCTTTTGCAGCCTCCTCGAAGGTGAATTTACTGGGGACAGTGAGGTGGAACACATCACCTGGAAAAAAAAGAAGGGAAAAAAAGCCCAAAGTTTTATTATTCATTCCTTTCCTGTTGGATAAATATGGTGGGGAAGGAATTGGAGGAGCATGTAATACTTTTTCATGGCAAGGTAGCAGCTTCTGATACTTTAAAGCAGAAAAGATAATGGTGACTTAGCTTCGTTATAATTATGAATACATAATCATAAATAACACATACCCGAGAAGTTTTATTCTATACGTGTATGTGTGTGTGTACATTGGCCATAGAATCAGTCATTTAATAACATTTTATAATACATTCTTTAAAATGAACAAAT
This sequence comes from Homo sapiens, assembly GCF_000001405.40. Classification (NCBI taxonomy): domain Eukaryota; kingdom Metazoa; phylum Chordata; class Mammalia; order Primates; family Hominidae; genus Homo; species Homo sapiens. The sequence continues at coordinate 83,511,799 of NC_000005.10, read as the reverse complement.
CCTTCTGAGTGATTCTTTAGATTACTATCCAGGTTTTTGTTTTTTTAAGGAAAAAGTCTGCTATGTGCTTCCTAACATTGCATATTGGAAGGGAAACCTTGCATTGAACTGCCACCACGGTTATTCCACTTTGTTTATCCTAAAATCAAATAGTAATTCTCTGGCCTTCCTTCTCATTTATAACTACCGACAAAGTGGATTAACGCCATTAAATAAAAAAAAAAAAAAATAAGAAAACCTCCAGAAATGTGAAGATGGGAAGGGCTCAGAAGTGGTACAGAATTCTACTTCCTGCCTTCCCGTATCAGGCACAGGGCTGCCATGATGGTTACGAAGGTCGCGGCCTGCACAGGAGCACCAGGCCCAGTGTGTAGGGAAGGCCTAGGTCGCCTCCCACTCAGCCAGCCAAAGGAACTCCAGCCTCTTTGGATAAAGCCTTTGTTTTACTTGCTCTGTGCAGAGGGAGCACTTTTTGCTAATTCTTACAAAGACACCCCAAGTGCTAGTAGGGGCTTTAACTAGGTTCAAGAGACTTCTTTTTTTTTTAGGAGAATCGCTTGAACCCGGGAGGCAGAGGTTGCAGTGAGCTGAGATTGCACCACCACACTCCAGCCTGGGCGACACAGCGAGACTCCGTCTCGAAAAAAAAAAGAGAGAAAGACTCCCCCAACACCCCACTCACTCGGGCCCCAGATGGAGGCTCAGTAGCCCAGGCTGCAGTGCAGTGGCACGATCTGGGCTCACTGCAACCTACACCTCCCGGGTTCAAGCGATTCTCCTGCCTCAGCCTCCCAAGTAGCTGGGATTACAGGCACCTGCCACCACGCCCAGCTAATTTTTGTATTTTTAGTGGAGACGGGGTTTTGCCATGTTGGCCAGGCTGGCCTCAAACTCCTGACCTCGTGATCCACCCGCCTCGGCCTCCCAAAGTGGTGAGATTGGTTAAAGAGGTTTTTTAATTTGCTGATTGATTAACAAGAAAAGGCTGGACAGTTGCTTTGTTTATTACCAAGTCTAATTAGCAGAGGGTATATTCATTATCATTTAACATGTTACAATGAAAGATTCTGGAAACTTCAGAGTTTGTTAAGTTGGAATTTTACTTAGCTAACTAACATAACAGTTTGCTGAAATAAATTCCACACAAATTAAATTATGTTTTTCACATGTGAGCAAAAGTAACCAAAGACAGAAGCAGAATTATAGAATACCTAAGCCAATATCACAGTCAGGAGGAGAAATGAAAACTGAAACAGAAAGTTAAAATGTTGATAGCCCACTATTGTAGCTGAGAGTACTGTTTCCATCTCACTGAAGCTGATCTCTGATTCTATGATATATTAGACAACTGGGATCCAAAGAGCTGTCATGATTTGGATCTTCACCTGACTAAATCCAGATGTATCAAGCAATTGTTTAAAATGAATAGTGCTATTACTTTCTCTGAGTGGGTGATAGCACTATAAAACAAGAAAAATTAGTCATGGGGAAAATGGCCAAAGCACACATATCGGCTTTTCTCACTATATATCTAAAATTGCTATTGAGGAAAGTAGGCCAAATTTCAATGAGAGCTATTTGAAGAAGGGAGAGAGAAATTACTTTCACCTGACTGAAAGAAGTGGTAGAGGTGTACATAGCTTTTTATTCTTAATTATCTAGTCTGGCAAAAGACAGTAATCTCAAATACAACAATACACTCTAAGAAAAAGTTCCCCTCCCGGCTCTCACAACGTCTCCCTTCCTAATAAATTTTAAAAGCATAAGGGTCACAGGGCCAGTTACATAGTATGTATTCAATAAGATTTGTTAAATGAATGGCACTTCAAGTTCTTATTAAGAAGCTAGGTCTCTTTTTTCCCCCTATCCTTCCCAACAGCACATTAAATAAAGCTAACTCTGCTACAAAGCTTTGGAGAGATGGCTGCTGCCTGAAACAGGCATTTTATCTCACAATAGACTTGGCTCAAAGCAACATGGAGAAAGGCAGACAGAGAAATTACGTCATCCTGAACAGCCTCCTTCACCTCAGAATAACACTTGCCTGAGGCCTGAAAGGGCTGCAAGTGTAAAGAAGGCAGCGTGCCAACAGTTTTCCCTGAGAGGTAGAACCCTTGGACTTGTTATTACAGCTGGAATATTAGTTGTGTTGCCTTAGTTTCCTGCATTTCCTGAGATACTCCTACCTTAAGGCGAAACTACCATTCCTCTTAAGTAACAAGTGTTATCAGCCAACCACGGAAGGGCAAAGAAATATAATTAATTGAGTAAAACTCTGCTTCTCCAACTGCACTGTTAGTCTATCTATTGAGGAACATCAACTTCTCCAAGGAAGACCAGACCAAAGGGCTAATGAGGAAAAAATGGCAGCATGATTTCATGGGTAGCTGGTTTCCCTATTTTAAACAGCAAACATGTTTGCAGTATTAAAAGAAAGAAAGGCTTCAGTAGGTGCTGGCCTGTTACAAAGAGAATTCTCTTAGTAGTAGTTAATCAGTTCAGACCTACTTATAGAACTTTTCATGTAGAAACTCTTGTTAAATCTGACTTTATATCAGACTATCAATTATTTAACTCACTTGTTTGAAGTATACGATATTCATTTATTTGTTTGATACCCATAGAATGATCATTTTACTACTTTGATTAAATTCTGTTATCCCTAATGCCATTTCTTTCTTTCTTTCTTTCCTTCCTTCCTTCCTTCTTTCTTTCTCTTTCTTTCTTTCTTTCTTTTCTTTCTTTCTCTTTCTTTCTTTCTTTCTTTTCAAAAAAGATAGAGTCTTGCTAAATTGTCCAGGCAGGAGTGCAGTGGCTATTCACAGGCATGATCATAGCACACTCTGTCCTCAACTTCCTTGCCTCCAGCAATCCTCCTTGCCTCAGCTTCCTGAGTAGCTGGGACTACACGCAGGCACCACTGTGCCCAACTTATCCTTTTCAATTATGTGTAGAAATTTTTCAAACTTTCCAAATAAAATTTTTATAAAACATATTGCAAGAAACATTACCATTGGGTTTCTTGTAATTCAGATGAAAAAAAGGAAGATTTAACCAGAATCAATTGAGTTTACTTTAAGGTGAGGATTAAAAGAATTAATCTGTTAAGATAACGTGCAGTCAGTTATTTTATTCAGCAATAATTACTTTATTTCAGAATAATGAGAAAAGGAAAAAAGTGACTTAAATTCTGTTCTAAAAAATAACTATTTAAGCCTTCCTAAATCATAATTGTTTAGTGTGAACATTTCCTTGCTCACCTCAAAAACCTAATGATATAGTGAAGCATTTACACTATAGAATTGAGTATGTCTTTAATCTCTTATAACTAACACCCAATCTATACCAAACGTGATAAGTTAAATGTCCAAACTTCTGTCCTTTCCATGTATCAACCCTCTATTATTAAGGCAGGGACATCTGTACATAAATTTGTTTTGTGGAATATTTTGGAAAACACTGTTCTAAAGACCTATATTTTAATCAAGAAGAGGACTCTCAATTAACTTACAACACACATAACTTAGTACTAAGTTTCTGGTATGTGTCAACCTGTTTAAGATAGAAGCAAAGTGAGCAGACTGGGTACCCAGTCAGAATCAAAGCAGGAGATTACAAAGCAAAATATGTATGATGCCAATTGCCTCCCAGGATTATGTCAAAGGCTGCAAGTGAGCAAAAAGGGGAATGAGGCAGAGCAGGGAACCCTGATGAAGTGTCTAAGACAGCAATTTAAGCTGAACATGGAAAGAGCTCATTACTTAAAAAGAAGCTCATTTTGCACAAAGTAAACCAAGGTATGGCAGATAGCAACAGGCTTTCTCCAGAACAATAAATTCCAGGAATAAGTCTTTCAACCCCGTATCTCATTAAAAACATGCAGTTTTTAAGCTAAACATTGTCCATTTCTACACTGAGAAAAGCAATCAAGATGTTAACATTTTCAAAGTTTCTATTGATCCATTTTCAGTCTTTAAACCCATAGTCAGGAATTATTTATAAGTCAAATTATATGTTGTAAACTATAGCACAGTGGAATGAAATTGGATAGAAATGAAGTCTGGGCCAGTAATAGAATTGTAAATCCAGGCTTGGTCCAAAAATGAATGCTCATAGAAGGATGCCTCCAAAGATAACATCTAATGCCTAGAGGCAAAGCCAAATCAGGAATCCAAGGAACAGACAAAAGAGAAAGCCACTGATCACAGCAAACATGGGAAATCAAGCAAATCAAATAGGCACGTTTGCTTAGTTGCTCTCTCTCAACATGATTTAATTGGCCCAACTGTGTAAGCTCCTACCCAGAGGGTATCATAAAGCCACCTTTTTATCTCTGATGTGAATAATAAAAGTTCTTTCTGAGTTTTTAATCACAGTACAACCTTTAGAGTTAGACAGGGAATGCACAGCCTTCAGTGAGAGAAAATGACTATTTTAGTAGCATAGAACAAAGTTGTGTTCTATCTCTGCTCCTGGATACTTGTACCTGAACAATTTAATGTATTCTTAGATTTAACGGATAGTTGCTTTCCTGGAAAACAAGCATCTTTTTTGTAGTTTGACAAGAAGCCTGTTAATAAGTTCCAGGAGTAGCCTCATCAAAGCAGCTAAATTGATAGGACAATTATCAAAGTTGTAATTAGAGCACAGATTTGGAACATGTTTCTAAATGTTACCTATCCATGAGAAAATGTTTTATTTTTCTCTAATTGAAAACAGTAAATAAAATGTCAAGTGATATGATTTGGCTGTGTCCCCACCCAAATCTCAGCTTGAATTGTATCTCCCAAAATTCCCATGTGTTGTGGAAGGGACCCACGGGAAGGTACTTGAATAATGGGGGCCAGTCTTCCCCGTGCTATTCTCATGATAGTTAATAAGTCTCAAAAGATCTCATGGGTTTATCAGGGGCTTTCTGCTTTTGCTTCTTCCTCATTTTCTCTTGCCGCTGCCATGTAAGAAGTGCCTTTCACCTCTCGCCAAGATTCTGAGGCCTCCCCAACCATGTGGAAATATAAGTCCAATTAAACCTCTTTTTCTTCTCAGTCTCGGGTATGCCTTTATCAGCAGTGTGAAAATAAACTAATACAGTAAATTGGTACCAGTACAGTGGGGTGTTGCTGAAAAGATACCCGAAAATGTGGAAGCAATGTTGGAACTGGGTAACAGGCAGGGGTTAGAAGAGTTTGGAGGGCTCAGAAGAAGAGAGGAAAATGTGGGAAAGTTTGGAACTTCCTAGAGGCTTGTTGAATGGCTTTGCCCAAAATGCTGATGATATTGACAATAAGGTCCAGGCTGGGTTGGTCTCAGATGGAGATGAAGGACTTGGGGACTGGAAGAAAGGTGACTCTTGTTATGTTTTAGCAAAGAGACTGGTGGCATTTTGCCCCTGCCCTAGAGATTTGTGGAACTTTGAACTTGAGAAAGATGATTTACAGTATGTGGTGGAAGAAATTTCTAAGCACCAAAGCATTCAAGAGGTGACTTGGGTTCTGTTAAAGGCATTCAGTTTTATAAGGGAAGCAGAGCAAAAAAGTTTTGAAAAATTGCAGCCTGACTATGCAGTAGAAAAGGAAAACCCATTTTCTGCGGGGGAATTCAAGCCGGCTGCAGAAATTTGCATAAGTAGCAAGGAGCCTAACGTTAATCCCCAAGACCGTGGATAAAATGTCTTCAGGCCATGTCAGAGACCTTCACAGCAGCCACTCCCATCATAGGCCTGGAGGCCCAGGAGGAAAAAGTGGTTTCATGGGCCAGGCCCAGGGTCCCCGTGCTGTATGCAGCTTGGGGAATTGGTACCCTGTGCCCCAGCCACTCAAACCGTGGCTGAGTGGGGCCAGTGTACAGCTTGGGCTGTGGCTTCAGAGGGTGGAAGCCCCAAACCTTGGCAGCTTCCATGTGGTGTTGAGCCTGTGGGTGCACAGAAGTCAAGAACTGAGGTTGGGGAACCTCTGCCTAGATTTCATAAGATGTATGGAAATGCCTAGCTGCCCAGGCAGAAGTTTGCTGTAGGGGTGGGGCCCTCATGGAGAACCTCTGCTAGGGCAGTGCAGAAGGGAAATGTGGGGTTGGAGCCCCCAGACAGAGTCCCTACAGGGGCACTCCCTACTGGAGCTGTGAAAAGAGGGCCACCATCTTCCAGAACCCAGAATGGTAGATCCACTGACAGCTTGCACTGTGTGCCCGGGAAAGCTGCAGACACTCAATACTAGCCCATGAAAGCAGGCAGGAGGGAGGCTGTACCCTGCAAAGCCACAGGGGCTGAGCTGCCCGAGACCATAAGAACCTACCTCTTGCATCAGCGTGACCTGGGTGTGAGACCTGCAGTCAAAGGAGATCATTTTGGAGCTTTAAAATGTGGCTGCTCCACTGGATTTTGGACTTGCATGGGCCCTGTAACCCCTTTGTTTTTGGCCAAATTCTCCCATTTGGAATGGGTGTATTTACCCAATACCTGTATCCCCATTGTATCTAGGAAGTAACTAGTTTGCTTTTGATTTTTACAGGCTCCTAGGCGGAAGGGACTTGCCTTGTCTCAAATGAGACTTTGGACTGTGGACTTTTGGGTTAATGCTGAAATGAGTTAAGACTTTGGGGAACTGTTGGGAAGGCATGATTGGTTTTGAAATGTGAGGACATGAGATTTGGAGGGGCCAGGGGCAGAACAATATGGTTTGGCTGTGTCCCCACCCAAATCTCAACTTGAACTGTATCTCGCAGAATTCCCATGTGTTGTGGGAGGGACCCAGGGGGAGGTAATGGAATCATGGGGGTTGGTCTTCCCCATGCTATTCTCATAATAGTTAATAAGTCTCATGAGATCTAATGGGTTTATCAGGGGTTTCTGCTTTTGCTTCTTCCTCATTTTTTCTTGCTGCCACCATCTAAGTAGTCCCCTTCACCTCCCGCCACGATTCTGAGGCCTCCCCAGCCACGTGGAACTGTAAGTCCAATTAAACCTCTTTTTCTTCCCAGTCTTGGGTATGTCTTTATCAGCAGCATGAAAATGGACTAATACATCAGGAAATATACCAAATATATTTTATATAAACAAAGTGATGCATTACTTAAGATGTCAGGTTTACAGTAAGTTAAATTGTTATAATAAGAATTCATCAGGCTGGGCGCAGTGGCTCATGCCTGTAATCCTAGAACTTTGGGAGGACAAGGCAGGTGGATCATCTGAGGTCAGGAGTTTGAGACCAGACTGGCCAACATGGTGAAACCCCATGTTTACTAAAAATACAAAAATTAGCCAGGCATGGTGGTGCATGCCTGTAATCCCAGCTACTGGGGATCTGAGGCAGGAGGATCGCTTGAACCCAGGAGGCAGAGGTTGCAGTGAGCTGAGATCATGCCACTGAACTCCAGCCTGGGCAACAGAGAGACTCCGTCTCAAAAAAAAAAAAAAAAAATTCATCAAGGTATATACATATACATTCAGATTAGTGTACATGTAAAATATGATATACAACAGAGCCTTTCATGAATAGGATAATTTGCATATTCATATGGAAAACATATGCAGTATCTTAAGCCATAGTTTTCCAAAATTTCAAATTAAATACTTATAGCTTTGACATATTCCTGTTACTTCAACTTTCCAGGGATGCTCTAGAAGAAACGGGAGACATGTTGTAAGACTTTAATGACATTCCACAAACTAAATTTATTGTGGGAATTAACATCAGAAATTAAGGGAAAAAATACTCTAATTTGATCACTAGCTGCTACAAGACTCCCTAGAAAGTGGACCATGTATATTTTTTTCACAATTCTGTTTGCTAAGTGGAAAAGCTGCTTCTTGGCAGACTCAAACATGACACATACTGAAATGGCAAGCAATGATGAAAACAAATCAAAACATTAAAAATGACCCAAAGTGTTCAAAAGCTAGAGTTTATACTCAGGAGTCACTCAACAATATGATTAAAGAGCCTGAGTCTAGAGTAAAACTAGGATAGGATATTTCTCCCCCACTGACAATTCTTGCAATCACCAAGGTGAAAGGAGGACTTAATCACAGATAATTACACAATTCTTTCCTGACTGCAGCAGATGGGCTGCTCTCTGTGGCAGTCAAAGCTGAGATCTTACCAGTTTTGTAGCAGAGTATATTTGCTGGGTGATGTGATACATGATTATGTTTCTTCTGTTCATTAGTGCTTATAGCTCTACTATACTGCACTGTTTGGTCTGAAAATCAGTTCTTATAAACTAATTCATAATTTCCTTTGTCCATTTGGGAGCAGCACTCCCTGCTCTTTTGGTTTTTTGTTCTTGTTGTTGTTGTTATTTTACTACAAAAGTTCAACATTTGTAAATGTTTTCACATTACCTTGCTATCTGGGTCAAAATGGTGTATAAGTAATAAATGTATGCAAAAGTAAATGGGATGAGTAAGCTGGAAGTAGTTACATGAAATGAGCTTCTAAATACCCATACGATAAAATCACTAACAGAATATATCAAGTATCAAGGTGATAGCAACAATTCAACAAAATGATTAGCTTTGAAATGTTGGACTTTTAAGCTTTTTCAACACTTTCTTTTTCTTTTCTCTCTCTCTCTCTATCTCTCTCTCCATCGTTTTTTTGTTTTTCTGTATGGATATACATAAGATCAAAGCAGGAAAAACTAATGCTTATTATCCACTGAATCACAAAGTCCATCAGCTGCACATGGATTGGTTAACATAATATATACTGCTATATAATCTTTTAAGGGCTAATATTTGTAGATAATTTAAAAGCATGTCAATTTCCTCTAAGATTTGATTATTTAACCTGCACAAAGGCCAATCTTCAGTTATCAATGACAAGAAAACTCTAGGGCTGCCAAAATAACTTCATTTTAGACCCCAGAGTTAGTGTTAGGCTGGTAATGTTTCTAATTTGGGAATAATGAGACTAGAAAGCTAGGAGGGCCCCCTCCAAATTTCTCCCTTGTATTAGGCTGAAGTAGAACATAACGTGGCTTAAAGCATAAACTTAAAGCATATGCTTTGAGTTTTAAAAATGTTAACCTGTAATTAATTATTAGAGTATTATCCATAGTCTACTATGATAGTCAGTTAATATTCTCTAAATCAGATTATATTCATTTGAAAATGCATCTGCATATTTGCAAATGTGTTATTACACAAGATCTTACCTATGTCAATTTAAAGAGGTTAAAGATGCAGGAAGCCCCCACTAAAATGTAAACACATTTGTACGGTTTTCAGAATGTTTGGACTCATTCTTTCCCATTGACAGAGCAGTAGGTTTTAATTAGAGTGAGAAAGAGGTTCTAAAAATTTCTGGGTTTCTGAGTCTTCAAAATATACAAAAGATTGAATGTGTTATTTGGTTTGACAGGCACAGAATGACCTCAGGTCAACACAGGAGTATCAGCCTAGTTTGGGTTTTTTTGGCTTTTCACAGCTGGGAGGTAAATGGTGACTGTATTTCCAAAGAAGCTCTTTTGATTCAGAACTCCAGGAGACCCTGACATGAAAACCTTAAAGCAAATGACTGTCACATGCTTCAAGGAGTTTATGTCAAGACAGTTCTACTTATGTAAAGTAAGATTATAAAATGAAAGAGAGTGTATAAAGAAAATCCTAAGGAATCCACTAAAAAACAATTAGAACGAAGAGGCAAGTTCAGCAAGGTTGCAAGATACAAGACCTATATATAAAAATCAATTGCATTTCTGTACACTTGTAATAAACAATCAAAAAAATTAAGAAAATTACATTTGCATTTGCATCAAAAATAGTAAAATATTTACAAGTAAATTTAACAAAAGAACTGCAAAACTTATACTCTGAAAAGAACAAAATATTGTTGAATAAAATGAAAGAATATCTAAAAAATAGCAGAAAGACATCTCAGGTTCACAGATCAGAAGACATAATATTTCTAAGAGGGCAATATACCCCAAGTTGATCTAGAGATTCATTGCAATCTATATCAGAATCCTAGCTGGCTTCTTTGCAGAAATTGACAAGCCAATTTTAAAATTCATGTGGGAACTCAAGAAACCCAGAATACTAAAACAATTTTGAAAAAGAAGAACACAGTTGGAAGCCTCACACTTTCCATTTTCAAAATTTACTACAAAGCAATTGTAATAAAGACATTGTGGTACTGGCATAAAGATAGACATACAGATCAATGGAATATAATTGAGAGTCTAGAAATAAATGCATCTACCTATGGTCAATTGATTTTCAACAGGGTGCCAAGGTCATTAAATGGAGAAATAATTATCTTTTCAACAAATGGTGCTGGGACCACATCCAAAAGAATGAATTTGGACTCCAACCTCACACCATATACAAAAGCTAACTCCAAATGGATCAAAATAAAAGCAAAAGAGTTAAAACTTATAAATCTCTTAGACTAAAACACAGAGATAAATCTTCATGACTGGGGATTTGGCAATGTTTTCTTAGATATGACACCAAAAGCACAAAAATTTTAAAAATAGACAAATTGGACTTTTCATCTAAATTAAACACTTTTGTGCTTCAAAGGGCCTTATCAAGAAAGTAAAAAGACAACTCACTGAATGGGAGAAACTATTTGTAAATCATTTACATGAGAAGACATGCAAATCTAGAATATACAAAGAGCACTCAAAATTTAATAGTAAAGACAACACAATTATAAGTGGGCAAAGTTTCAGAGTAGACAGTTCTACCAAGAAGATTGATAAATAACTAGCAAGCACATAAAAAGATGTTGGAGCTCATTAGCCATCAGAGAAATGCAATTCAAAACCACAGAGATACTACTTTACACTCATTAAGATGGCTACACAAAAGGTCAGATAATAGCAAGTGTTGACAAGACTGTGGAGGAATCAGGACCCTAATACACTGCTGATGAGAATGTAAAATGGTACAGCCACATTGAAAAACAGCCTAGCATTTCCTCAAAAAGTTCAAAGTAGTTACCATTTGACCCAGCAATCCCAATCATTGTAATCCAATCTGTAATGCAATCATTGCTCAAATAAGAATTATGATTTTTTCTAATGAGATATCAGAGATTTGAGGGAGCTTTGAGGGTACTTTTTATCTTCTTGGCTTGCAAGACTGCCTGCTGCTCTACTGGGGAATCTTTAGTGGCCCTGTGAGTTTATGGCAGTAGAAGAAGAAAAAAGGCATATCTAATCACTTAACCTGTCTGTGCCTCAGTTTTCTTATAGGCAAAAGTGAGGTTTCTTTTAAAAAGTGCCTGACAAAGGTTTCATAAGATTTAAGTTAAATAATACTCCCACCACACAGTAGATGTTTTCCTTCCTCATTCTACTCATGAAACTACCTCACACTCAATCTTACTGGAGTCACTACACTGTATAAGGACATCATCTTCCAGAGGTGCTCCCACCATGCTGTGCCTGATTGCTTTCCTCATTGGCTCTTAGGTAGACTGTTCAAACACTGTACACAGAAGCAACTCCAAGCAAGGTGTGTTAATCTCCAAAGTCTATATAGGAAGCTACGGATAATTAAAAAGTTTTTAGCATCTTCTAGGGCCAACTGCAACAAATGTGAAGAGATTCTGAAATCAAGAATCACTACTTTAACCATCGGCGGAATCATAGTGTGCAAGAGGCTCTTCAAGCTGATATGTGGCTTTTTAACTGAATAAGCCCAGTAAGGACGCAAATCACTAATTCTTAAATAACCTTCATCAGTGAAGTATTCTGTAGATTACATACTGTAAATCTCATTAAAATTAATAGGCAATCTGAGAATCTATAGGAAAGAAATTACACAATCTCCAGATGCGATATCTGATTTTGGTCCAACCAAAACCTTTAAAAAGCTAGAACTAACCCTGCTCTAAGACCTACTTGATGATGTTTATCTAAATGTTTAGATTTTCATATCTAAAGGAGCTCATAAAGTAACAAAAATGGAAAAGTTGTTTTTGGTTCTAGGTGAGGCACAAGAATGATATGGAGGCATTAGATAAGTCACAGAGGTGACAAAGCCATCCTGGACTCTGACACCAAGAAACAGTAAAAATAATAACCTATAATTGATGAATAGGTATTAATACAAGAAAAGCAATCCCAGAGAGGACAATTTGCTGGGAAGGAGTGGAAGGCAAGGAAAATAATTTACCATGAGAGGCCAGAAAGGAGTATCTCTGGGAAGGAGTAATTTCTAAGAGACATCAAAGAAAAGAGTGAGAGGAGAAAAGAGTGAGAGGAGAAATACAAAGAGGAAAAAATAGTATCATGGTGATTAAATAATGGTAAAAAGTAGATCTTTTTGAATTTGGTAAATAAAGCAAAGCATTTTTTCAAGTGTTATAGATAAATGGAAAGGTGGTGGTGGAAGGCAGTTTCCAGAAGAGACAAAGGTTGGAAAAATACTATAATTACCACCAACTATTTATTGGATAACTATTACGTGTCTGCAATTGGAACAGGCTCTTGATTGCAGTTGGGAAACATATAGAAGTTTATGGTCTTATCTCTACTAGGAGCTTACAATAATTTTGCTGAAATAAAACAAACATATAACATTTTATATTTTATGAACACAAAGAAACCAGAAAACAATTAAGCAATAAATCACATGGAACTAACTCTAAGTAAAGTAGAAGTTCAGAGTCAAGAAATTTCAGTGTGAGCTGCAATAGCCAAAAGGGGGATCCTGGAAGCAGTAAGTCTTCAAGCACAGGCAAAATCACAATGTTGAAGAGATGAAGGGTGTGTGTTCCCTGAGAGGAACAGAGCAGACTTGCAAGCAGGAGCAAGCAAAGGGTCTGTGCAGGGCGAGATGCACGTGTGTGGGGTCACATTGAAGAGTGTGGGAATGAAGGGTGAATAGATTGCAGTAGAGCAGGTATAGGTTTTGAAGACCAGGCAGAGTATGTGCTTGTGGAAGAAGCCAACAAAACCAACACACAACGTTAAGTAGGAGAATTACATGGCAATGGTGTTTAACTGTTTTGATGGTAGTAAAACAGATCCCCTGAAGGACTCTTAAAGTGATGGGGACTATTTGTGACAACCAAAACCAAAAATGAAACTCAAAAGTGATTCACAAACTAGAAATATGGGTATGAAATTCAGAAAAGAATTCAGGAGCTAAACATGCAAAACTAGAAATTAACATCTTCATTGTTCACGTATTTGTTCTTTTGGTATTCTTTCATGCCCCATATGTCCCACAAGACTTTTGGCTTACAAGTTATGTACAAGAGAACAAAAATGAAATTAAACAAACTAATAAGAAAATTAAAGCAATAAAAAAATCAGGAAGCAGATAGTATACTGATGGATCCTGGAGAAGTGTGAAACTATCCAGAAAGCAATTGTAAATCAAGGTGAGTAGGGAGGCATTAATGGTTTAGAAGTTAATTCATTAATTCACTCATTTATTCAGCTCTACCTATGGAGCACCTACTATATGCTAAGGACATATTGGGCATACAAAAATGAATTTGTATGTTTCCTTCTTTCCCCCAATCCATAGTTTAGTAGGAGAGAAAGAAGTATAAGCAAATATTTGCAAGAGGGTAATTATAGTCATACATTCAAGGTTCAGAGATGGTAAAGATGAGAAGAATCACCTAGGTCTTCAGGAGGGAATATGAGATGAAAGAGAGTGCCCACAGTATAGGCCTGTCAAAGTGCTGGAAGCTTGTGTAAAAAAACAGAGAATTGGAATAGTAGGGTAGTAGTTAACCCAGGTGAAGTAAATACCAAAAGGCAGGGCTACATAGAAAATGCAGGCCATAAGAGGATAGGCCTATGTCACAGGGGAGAGAAGCTCCTGAACCAACCATTTGTCAGGTCTGGGGACAAGACTGGAAGTATTGACTCATTTGCAAGGAAACTAAGTGGGTCAACAATGAAAGAAGGTAATAGGACCTCATCTGCAATCCTCCAATTTATCTGCAGGATAAATTAAATGCCTAAAAAAGAAACTTATTTTTTAAAGTATCTGCTACCATCAGGAAACCAAATAAATAGTCAGTCTATTAATTTCGTTCTTAAATAATTCCGATCCTTTACCTAATTTCTTGAGCCATTTAATCATCTCAACTCTACCTTAAAACCCTCCCAATGTTTTCCAAATCTGTCTTACTGGGAAACAAAGATTAAAATTCCTAATAAGGATTATTTTGTGGATCTTAATTTCTAGATTCCCATTTTAAAATTTTAATTCCATTAATTTCTTAATAATAGCATTCTATTACTGATTGAATCATCTCTAATAAGCCATCATAATTTCCAGACCATTTCTAAGAACACGAGCTGATATTGAAATGTTTACTAGTGAATATAGCTAATGTAATTACTCTTTAAAACTTAATAGGTTATTTTGAAAAGCAGAATTGAATATTCATTGAATATGCATAACTGTTATAATCACCACCTTAGAAAAAGAACCCTACTAGATTTTTCTCCCAAAACTAGCAGGATTTAATTTAGTGCAATTATTCAAATTTTATAGAGAAACACATATGTCAGGAAGATATGACATTATAAAACAAGAAAGGAGAAAAAAACAGGTCAACATACTGTCAACTATATATCTTTCACAATAAATAATTAAATTAAAACGGAAAATTAATTGCCTTTTTGAGCAAGTTTTCATTTTATACTTAATTGGCTTTTTCATCAGACCATCTGGAATATATGGCTTCTGATCTAAATTAATTGCACCTTGGTTCATAACTCCTATGTGTGTGTTCCATCACATGCATTCTGAATATACCAAATCTTTTACTGTCCCCACCATTTCTCATACACACACACTTGACTCCCCCAAATATAATAAAATATAGGTGGGAATTATTTGACTCATGAATTTAGCAATGCCTCTTACAAGGAATCTTGACTCACCTTCAAATAATCTTTTATCAACGTGACAATTGAAATACCAGACGTAATTTTATGTAGTCAACTTTCCACAAGAATTTTTTATTAATTCACTCATTAGCCATGGTCTGTACTTCAAAAGGGAAGACATATACTTCAGTTAAGAAATGAGAGAAGCCTTACAAGAATGATTTTGTGATCTTCCTCTTACCTCATCAGCCATAAAAGTTACCTTTCACCCCCATTCCTGCTCACTTTCAAGCCAAGAAAGAAAAGAACAGTGTCCAAAGATTTGATACTTAGTCCAAGAGCCAATAAACAAGGAGGAAAAAAATGTCAGGAACAGTGTTATTGTAAACATGCTGAATATCCTCCAGAATTGTCAAGTTTCTTCTATGAAACAAATAAATGCCTTGTTACTTTGCTGACACTGATTTCAGCCAGTGCTTGAATTAATATTTGAACTGACTCTTTTATATTTCTCTTCCAATTTTTACATATTAAAACAAAAAGATGAAAATTCTGTTGATTTGGTATAAAGAGCCTAAGTAAAGTTATGCTATATTCCACATTACAAGTTTTCAGTCACCAAGTATGTAGATTTATCCAAAATAACTTTATAAAATACAGTTGGGTTACATTGGGACACAAACTGGCTTCTTTAGAAGTGATTGTGTTTATGGAAGTGGGAGAGGACGTCTATAAGACTAGTAAATCCCTCGTCATGGGAGATATGCATACATCCTCAGAGCTCCTCTTCTGACAGAGTCCAGTTCCTGAACACTGGTTATGATACTATGAGCAGACTGTGGGGAGCCATCGTTCAATGAAGACAGTGTGGCTAGGAAATCCCTGGAAGGACTCCCACCACTAAGACTTGTCAAAAATTCTTCAAACAGTACTTGCAGAGGCCCTGAAATTTCTGGGACTTCTATAAAATCCCTCCCTGGGCTTGAAAAAATAATTTTGAATTTGGGCAGTCTAGAGCCTTAGAGAGCTAAGAGCTGATAGTAGCTCTATCAGAGTAAACTCAAAAACAAACACACGGGGGGTCTCTAGGGCTCTCTGGCTGGTGGCTTCATGGGTACATAAGCCTGTCTTTCCACCAAGGAATCTGGCTTGGGATGCTTATTCATATTTGAATCACGAAAGCCCACCATTTAAATAATATTTGGTAAAGATCTTTTAGGTTAATTAGATCTTACATATACTTTTGCAAAAGCTACCTCTGGATCATTTCTAGTATTACTAGCATTTCAGATATTGTTTATAACTATCACCCTTGTAGATATTACACTAAATTAAAACAATAGTGATACAAATTCCCACCTTACCAAAATAGCAATAATCCAATTTATTTCCTAGTTTATTTAATCAGATTCTCCTACCAACCATCTCCTCTTCTATTTTTTAAATCAATTAAAATAAAGGCAAGAGAAAAGCTCTAGTTTTATGTATTTCAACCATAGCTTGGATGTTATGTTTTCCCTTTTCCTATATACAAAAATAAAATTTGCTCACATCTGCACTTTTGGTTTAGAAAATACATCTGGCAATCTTCAGTGATAGTGAAAATAAGAATGCTAAGATACTAGAGAACCACACCTAAGCACCCTTTTTGAAAGCAGGCCTTCCGATGCAAATTTAGTCAAGGCATTAGGAAAATATAAGCTGCTTATATTCTAGCTTTCGGGCTCTAAGATTGCTTATTCAATTCACAGAATCAGGGAATCACAGAATTTTAATGTTGAAAGAGACCATAGAAATTATCTAGTCCAGCCTCCTCATTTTAAACATAAGAAAATTCAGATCATTCTTTTTATATGCACCTACTCAAAATTAAAAGTATAATTTAATTTAACACTATTATCTATACTTTAGGATTCTAATAATAGCTGTTAATACAAATGAAAATCCATTTCAAAAGTTGTAGAAACTTCTATTCCATGTGCCTTTATTTTACTTATATTTATGTATTTGTTGAGACAAGATCTCACTCTGTCACCTAGGCTGGAGTGCTGTGGCGCAATCTCCTCAGCTCGCTACAGCCTCCACACCCTGGCTCATGTAATCCTCCCACCTCAGGACCCCCCACCCCCACACTTCTCTCACTTCCTAAGTAACTGTGACTACAGGCATATGCCACAACACCTAGCTAAGTTTTGGCATTATGTAGAGACATGGTTTCACCACGTTACCCAGGCTGGTCTCAAACTCCTGAACTGAAGCTATCTTCCCACCTAGCTCTCCCAAAGTGCTGGGACTACAGGCGTGAGCCACTGTGCCCACCTCCCTGTGCCTTTATAATAAAGCTGCACCATGCTCTTTAGATAATGTCGGTACTATTGAACTCAAATTTGTCTTTAAGAATCTCTAACTCAGGCAAAGGAGAAATGACAGTGCTGAAATCAGACTGTAAGCGACTTGAAAGGAAGGGCTATATCTTAACTGATTTCATATCTCTAACAACCAGCAGAGTACCTACAAAAATCACAGTAGGTGATTTTTAATGTGTTAACTGGTTTAACGTATTGACTGGTTGAATGAAGGAAGGATTGCTCTGAATATTAGTGTAACAAAATAAACAGGAAGTCAAACTTGAAAATTCCTGCTGGGCTAGTTTATGGAGTTATTTAGTTAGCTCTGGGGTGTTTATCAGTACTTGGATTCACAGTGGATTGTCATCACATGATTTTTATCTTATGCTCTCACCAGAATAGGTACCACCCTTACAGCTTTCTATTCTCAATGATCTAAAAGTGTATTGGAAACAGTCCAAGAGCAGCATGACTGTAAGAAAACCTGCCATTAACTGAAGACATTTCTAACCTGCATAACCATTTACACACTCCTCCTTGCCTTTCCACTTTAATTTCGGCTTATTTTACCACAAAATCATACAGTCGTATAAACAAAATGCCACCGTTTGGAATCCAAACAAGCACGAAGACTTGCTCTATTCCAATGAACTTCTGGTCTTCCCTCAGTTTTCTCAGTTCATACGAAGATATAGAAACTCAAACATCTTACCATCCAGATGATCCACATAACAATACACATCGTAAGTTTCCTGGGGAGAACGGAATCCATAAGTCCTGACTCCTGCCTTTCCCATCTTATCTCCATAACAGCCTACTCTGGGAGCCCGGATGGGATATCTGGGGAAATAAATGGCTAGTTAGTGGCACTTTCTTCTCACTCTCAAGTTAATAATGAAGCCTGTGGCCCCCAGACCTCTTACCTGACAGTCTGATCAGCCAGCCAGCCTGCGTCACACTGCTCAAATCCATCTTCATAGGCAGCAAAGAGCTGCTCTGGAGTTGCTATGACTGCCCCAACGTCCAAACAAGCCTTCTGAGCAGCCTCAAAATTCAGTGTGTACCTGCTGGTTGCCGCCCTGTAGTGAAACACAACCCCTGCAAAAACAACAGCAAACAATTGCCAGCCTGTTCAAATCTCCCACTGCACTGTGCAAAATTTCTCATTGGAGCAATGTATCAACTTAGTTGGATACATAGTAATAATATCATAATAATTATTTACTTTTACTTCATGCAGCATTATGCAAAATCATGTTGATTTGAGGGGCTCCAAAAATGCCATTCATCTAGACATCCCATTCTGCTCCACCAGAAAATTTCCTAGGGGATCTCCTAGATCAAGGAAGAGATTTAAGTCACTGAATCCCAATAGTTGTCCTGATTGCAGGCAGTATTCACGCAATCATGGGAACACCAGATACCTAAAGGGAGTAGATTCTGCAGAAGATACAAAGACCTAAGGGGACCACAAGATCAACTTCTACTTCAGGACTTTATCCGGGGTCAACCCAATATTTATGCATGAAACACTCACCTGTCTCATAAAAATATTCACTAACACCACTTCTTCCAAATGTAAAACAATGAGATATTTACCTTCAGAGACAATGTACTAGAGTGGAAAAGACACTGGACTATTTATGAGTGAGAAGACTTGTTCCAATCCCTAATTTACTCCTTACTTTTATACAAGTCAGTTTCTCTGAGCTTTAATTTCCTGTCCCATAAGGTGGAACTAAAAATATGTATGTTACTTGATTGGTGTGAAGGTCAAATTAGGTAAAGGATTTTAAAATGTTGAGTAGACCACCATGTACCATTCAAATGTTTATCATATTCTTTACCTGACCAGCATAACGTAGGGTCTCTGCTATGACAGATAACATGTATAATTTTTATCCAAAGAAAGCCTGAAATAAATTCTCAAATTCTTCCTAGTAGAAGCTCCTGATACTTGCCTCAAATTCCACTTTGTTGTATTTTAGGGGTGGTATAAACTAGTGGTTTTGAACTGTGCTCCAGGGCTCAAGAAATTTTCAAAGGGATAAGGATAGAGCAAGCAAGGGGGTGGAGCTCTGGATCCTCTCTTGCCATGTCAACAAGAGTCTCTCCATTTTTAGCTGGGGTAAATATGATGACTCATTTCTGCAAGACATCAAAGTGGATTGAACTAATATGCCAGAGAAGTCACTGAAAAATAGAAATTGAGGCAACTGGGTCTTATGAATGAGATTTTATTAAGAGTCATCCCATTTAAGAACACTTTGTTGTTGTTGTTATTTGGGATAAACTGTGGTTTCCAAGATACGTGCCACTCTTCTTATCCCTAGTAATTTCCTGGGATGGACAACAGTTTATCTTCTGCAGCCTGACTTCTAGTTATAAGACTGTCTCCCATGTGTTCATCCTTAGATCATCTCTGTCTTCCAGAGTTATATTACTGTAGTAATATGACTACAGGGGAAAAGACTACCCATCTCATAGATAAGTGCCTCAGATCAGTGCCAACGCAAAAAGACCTGCACGGGCACTAAGTAGATGCAATGACAACTGGCATTCATTTTCTCATTTCTGATATTTTATGACTCAAATAGGAGATTTTGCCAAAAAAAAAAATCAAACGCCAATTTGTACCTTTATAGAACCTCTCTAAAATTGCCAGAAAATATATATGGTGCTATCTGGTGAATATAAGAGATAGCTTAAAATGATCTCTAAGGCTTAAGCAAGAATTTGAATAGATTTAGATTAGTTTAATGTTGATCAAAGCTTCAAATAGTCTTCTTGGTAATTAAAAATCTTCCATGTGCACTGAAGATTGGCAGTAAAGGGGCACAAAGAGGCCTCCTCGACCAAGGCAGGGAACTTCAATCTGTATAAGTATCTGCAGTTGCTGGAATAATTTGAAGACCCCATGGAGCTAAGGAGATTAAGTGGAGGATTTTCATTGTTTCAGAGGGGCAAGGGGCAAATCCATTGCTAATTCTTTAATGATGAAAAATGGTAAGAAGTTGTTAAACTCCTTTGGGGATTTTAAAAAGTGATACGTAAACAGAAGAGAGAGAGAGAGAGAGAAATCACAGTAGTGAGGCTAACAAAAATAATGATAAAAAGGTTAGAAGAACCCAGGATACTTAGTGGATGCCTAGACAACATAAAAATAGATTTATAGAAGGAAGCAATGGAATTTGAATATAAAAGGGTATCAGAAAGTTAATGTGTTGCATCTGAAATTCAAAGTATTTCCTTTTGGCTACACAAGAAAGACTTTTAATAAAACCCTTTGTATATATTTCTGAAAGGTAAATATTTTATAGGGAAATGGAGGATTGGAAGAAAATCTGTTCCATCATGTCTGGGTATTAGAATTTTGCTTAATAACTTGCCAAAATATTACGCTTCCAAGGGCTATGGCATTATGTGTGTACCCAATTAAAGCAATTTTTCTTTGCTTTGTCTCCTAACTTAAATTCAAATGACATATAAACCACCCCTGAAAAGAGGGTGAAACTAAAATGTCTCACTGCAATACTTAACGGATAACAACTAGGATATTAATCTTAAAAAATATACTAAATTTCTGTTTGATCGAATTCAAATATTTATTAAGTCTTGGCCTTTTTAAGACTCTGATATGTACCATGGTTTTTATTAAATACCTTATTTCTTCGGTATAAGTTAAGATAGAATTTCCTAAAAGCAAACTCAAATATTTTAATAATCATATTAAGAGAGAAAAAAGGGGGAAAGGTTTTTCATGTGTATATGTGTATATATGTGTGTATATGTATGTACATGTGCATACACACATATGTAATAATTTTTAAAATGTAGATTCGCCTTCAGAGTCTTGAAAAAGAATCACTGATAAGACTCAACACTGAAGTAATGATTATTAAATTATGTGTCATGCCTTGAGGTATTCGTTATTTTCAGTATACAATACTTTCCTTCATGGAATCAATGAAGTGGCTGCCAAAAATGCACCTGCCTTGACTTTTGAATGAGTACCAGTTCATTTTTGGTGAAAGACGTGGACTACTGGATTGACAGGTGTTTTTCCGCTCATCCAAACCCCAAACAACAGTTACTTCTGAGTGCTATTTCTCAATGCTTCTGAACCAGGTGTCATGTTATACTACCTTCTTGCAGATAATAAAAGCCTTACCATCCACAGTCAGTGACACCGTGTCTTGTGTGTCTTCAATCCCGTACATGACGTCACAGCGGTAAAGACCCGCATCACTTGCCAGCAGCTTGACCACAGTGAGGGAGGCATCGCCCACAGCCTCGGGATGTGTGGGCACAGACACTCTCCCTTTGTAGTCCTGACCAATCTTGATATTTCCATTTTGGGCCACAAGGACAGTAGTCTCTTTCAAATCTTTTCCATTTTTGTCCACTTCAATCTTAGACCATTTGATGCGGAGAAATTCACTGGTGTTGTAACTGGGTGGCAAAGTAGGCATCGTTGAAAAATGACAAGGTAGGCTGACTTTTCCAGAGAGGGAGCCCCTCACCGGTGGGCTTTTTCCCACTTTGACTAGAGGAAAGAGAAAATAACAAATTAACAATCTTAAAAAACCCAAACTTAATCTATTCAATATGTGAATGGATAAGCAGCCTTTATAATAGTTTGGTTACATCTTCAACATGTGACATAATTAGAATGACTTTATATAAAGAGAATAGCATACAATTTCAATGATGTTTTACAACAACAGGGATTAATAATGCTCATTTCTTTATATAGAAATGTGGCATCATTCATTTTAAAATTTTTTAACTTAGTGTTTAACATGAACAAAATAAGTGATAAAAAAAAAAAAGGCAAGCATAAGAGGTCAAGCAATTAAGGGCAAAGAAGGGCAGACTAGAATCCGTAGGGCAGGTTTAAAGGACTGGACCAACATTAGGAAGAGCAGCTGAAAGATGAAAATTATGTCTACAGGTCGAAAGACAAAAAATGTTTGTTACAATAACTGCCACATTACCTTAGAGGAAATGAAAACAAAATTCAAAGATGAAGTGAAAATAAAAAAGTGCTTCATAGGACTGGAACCAGGGAAAGCCTAACATTTGAAGGATGCACTTTGGTCCTGTGTTGGAACCAAAGGCTTTCATAATTATAACAAATCCAGCTACCATCACTTTGCAGTGAGACATTACCTTCAATTATATAATGGGGAAAGGTTGGTTTCTGTTCACCTAACCGTCCTAAAATATTTATCTGCAGAATGTCCTTCTGTTTAAACTTTTAAACTTTTAATGATAAAGAATATATTGACTACAGTTTAACACCATTACCTGCAAAATAAATGTTTTTTCACTCTTAGAGGAATCCATCCCTTTCTCTCCCACTCTCCTCTCTATCTTCCAGCCTCTATTAATTAGGCTAGACAATATGTTAGTAATAATGGAAGTTGTTGATAATGCACAAACAATGCTTACTTCATGAAAATATGGTCAACAAGTTAATAGTAGCCTCTAGGTGAAATGAAATAATGATTTTTTAACCAACAAAATGATGTATATCTAACACTCTGCTAGTGGTCAAACATATTGGAAACACACATCTCAACATGGGCATGCATTGGAAATGATATCACTCTCAATGTAAACACTGTGGATTCTCAATGTAAACACAGTTGGAGAAAAGCATTTTGAAAATTGCAAGAAGATACTATGGAGATATATCCTTTAAGAAAAAAATACTGTCTTGCTAAAGATTAAAATTTTAACCTAAAAAGAGATTGGCCTATAAAACATTTCATGTGATGCAAATAAATCCAAAATAATTAATATAGTATCATATTTAATGTACTTACAATATAAATCACTAATTTATTTCAAATGTATAATAACCATTGCTGTTATGCATTTGTTTATTATTTTATTAATCTACATGTAGCTTATCCAAAGCAGACTTAAGGCACTTAATGAAATTAAATAAAAACAAAGTGAAGTGTGCTATTAGCTATACTAAATTATCCTTTGAAATATTGCTAAGACTATTATCATTTTGGAATAAAATTGCAAGGGAATAATTCCACTTTTAATGGCCTCCTTGGCTTACAAAGTAAATTCTCTAACTTAGCTCAACCTTAAAGTAAAACTGGTCGAATTCCTTACAAAGGATCCTCCACTGAGAGGAAGGATAAGCTCCCAGATGGCTGGTGAGAGACCTGAGTCAGAACACATGTCTCCTGACACCTAATCAAGGAATCTTTTAGCTCTGGTGTGCTTCCTCTGCCCCTAAATGAAGTAAAAGAAGTGTTCTTTTCAGTTCCTTTTCAAAGTCTAGATGCATCCTATTTCTATAAGTATTTAATTACTATCTGAACTGAAATATTTTAGTAATTTCATGATCTTTTTAATAAATCCGTAAGGTTCACAGAGGACTCTCTGAAAGTACCTTCTACCTATTTCACATTCCTTTAATTTGGACCTAATTAGGGAGATGATGATAACACAAAGATATTGTTCTGAGAAGAGAAAGGGTGAGAATTTTGTGCTCTAAAAATCTCCAAATTTATATTCATCATATGTTCCAGAAAATCTCATCTTCCTTCCTGAAGAATTATTTAGATGACTAACTTTGCCACAAATAAAGTACTATTTTCAAATGCAAAAATAAACAGCTTTATCATCAACTTTAATTCTGGTATGAATTTTGAAACTCTTTATCATGTCTTTTAAAATTAGTTTAAAATATATGTCTTCCAATTCTTCAATATTTCTTACAAATTATATTTCTCTTCACAATTTGAAGTATATAGGGACAGACATGAGATTCAACCCAATCTATCCAATAGGGAGGTTTCTGAAACATAGAGCATTGCTAAACAGCTGTGCTGTAAAGAAAAGGTATGTTGGAAAAAAATAACTTTAAAAAGCAATTTCCCAAGGGTTGTTTACTGTTCTAGATGTTTATATATATAAGAAAATTAAAAGCTTTGGTTGGATATAAATAATATATTGATGTGAATACAAACTTAACAAGATTAACAAAAAGCTGTGTGGTCAAATCTTTTGTGTATTAAATCTTCGGTCTTAATGCACTGGGTCACAAAAACGAAATTCACTAAATCTAAATATTTTAAGAAAGAAATTCAGTAGTTCAGAGTATAATGTTTACAGAGTATGCATGTTTAAAAGAAATCTGCTACCTACAGGAATTTGTCTGAAATGCTGACAATTCAAGTAATAAAAATGAATCCTAACAAAACATTGGCTGTTACCAGATGGTTTGTGGTCCAAATGAGTACAGTGAGGGAGAAATCACTAAATAATGAATAACCAATTACCCCTCATTCTCTGTCAGCAGATTCCTTAGAGTAAAGATGATGTAAATTCCATCTGCACAATTTGAGCAAACACACACACACAGACCTTGGCCAAATAAATGTCAAATTGAGAATATGGGAATTTATCACTCTTTCAAGTGACAAATATCACTATCTAGTTCATTCACTTATTCACGACTGTGCATGACTCCTTTTCCTACTATAAGGGGAACATCAAAATAACTAGGCCAATGGTAGATAATCAACGATTAGGACAGTTTGTAAGATAATATAATGTGTATTGTTAAAGGAAATAGTTCTTCTTGGGTTAAAATAAAGCCCATAACAATAGACAAGGTGTTCATTTATGTTAGTCGTTGACCTCATCAGTGACTGGGAATAAACAGAAAAAAACCTTAAGATGAAAGTACTTGTCTTGACTCAACAAGTTACTACTGTGTTTTCCACTATAAATCCAGAAAATCTGTTTTATGTGGATCGTATATTTGTAACTTTCACCTCTGATATAAAAAAATTCTCCTGAAATTAGCCCCAAACTAATTACATCTAATAATAGTGATCATGGATTTACAAAGAATAGGTAAAGACATGCAGAAATTACTCAATGTTGTTGGCTATCAAAATTATTGTTGTAAATACTGTAAAGGAGGTACAACACAAGTTGTTTTTCATTGCATGAGTTCTTTCTTTAAGTGGAAAGTCTAAATTTCAGCTGAAGGATGGTCGCCTACTACTTTCCCTGTAAATTCCCTTCCAATACAGCCCATCCAAATACCACTCCCCTTTTCATATCCCTTTCTCCATCTTCACTGGTTGCTGTTGTCCTTTCCTCTCTGTGACCTTCACCTTCACCTCCCAAAAACTTTGAGGAAGACAGCTCCTAGGCTTCACCATCTGATTAGCATGTCTTCATGATCCAATTGGTGGAACCTAGACTCTAAAAACTATCCAGGTGGTCCACTGTGGCATTTATTTATTTATTCACTCATTTAGTCAACACACAAAATGACTAAGTGCTGTCAGTGTGTCAGGCACTTTGCTAGAAGATGAAAGGCCTTTTTGCAGCTTATAGTAGCCTACTTGGGAAGAAAAACAATAACTTATCCCAAGAGCATGGAAGATGTTATTATATCTGCAACAGCACAGGGGACAAGGGGAACATGGAGGAGGAATTTATTTATTTATTTATTTACCAGTTATTGAGATAGGATCTCACTTTGACATCCAGGCTGGAGTGCAGTGGTGCGATCATGACTCACTGCAGCCTCGACCCCCTGTGATCAACAATTCTCCTGCCTCAGCCCTCCCAGTAGGTGGAGTTCCAGCTACTGGGCTACTACAGGCCCAAGCTACTACAGGCCCAAGCCACCACCCCCGGCTAATTTTTTAAAATGTTTGTAGAGATAGGGTCTCACTGTGTTGCCCAGACTGGTCTTGAACTACTGGGCTCAATCACTCCTCCGACCTTGGCCTCCCAAAGTCCTGGGATTACAGGCATGATCCACTGCACCCACCCAAGGAGGAGCTTTTAAATTGGTTAGAAAGGGGAATCTGGAGGTGAAAAGGGGAAAGAGAGCCATCCCAGGAGTCAATTTATTCTTGACTCCTCTCATGTCCTCACTACACACCCCATCCAATCCATCAGTGGATGGACTGACTCCTCCATCTCCACATATCCAATTCACTTCTCTTCATCTCCACTGCTACCTGATCTAAACTACTCCCCACCCCATTTCATGCACAGGCTACTACAATAACCTCCTAAATGATATCTCTGCTGCTACCCTTGCTTTCCTACAATCAAATCTGCATAGATTATCAAAAACTGAATTTTCAAAACATTCATCAACTCATATCTTTCTTTGCTGAAACCCTTCAATACTTCCTACTGCACTTGGAATAAAATCTAGACTTTTTTTTTTTTTTTTTGACATGGAGTTTAGCTCTTGTTGCCCAGGCTAGAGTGCAATGATGCAATCCCGGCTCACCACAACCTCCACCTCCCGGGTTCAAACAATTCTCCTGTCTCAGCCTCCTGAGTAAAAATTCTAGACTTTTTAAAGCCTACAGTGTTCCATGTAGATAAGAAGTATAACATGGTGGTAAAGAGCACACACTCCTATGAATTGGTTCATCTCCAAGCTTTGCTTCTTACTGGGTATGGGCGTTCGAGCAAGCTGCTTAGCCTCTCTTGGTACCACAGTTTCCTCAATAGAATACAGGGGTAATGGATGTTTCAGTGAGTTAGTGTTAAGCACTTAAAACAGTTCCTGGATCATAGGGAGTTCTATTCAAGTTTTGGGTGTTATTATTATTTAGATGAGCTGGTTTCTGCTAATCTCTCTGTTCATGTCTCCTACTTTCCCCTTGATCACTGCTCTCCAACTATAGTGACCTTTCTGCTATTCAAACACACGATGTTTCTTCCTAACTTACAGACAGGTCTTGGCTGGCTGGTTCCTCATTATCATTCTCATCTCACTTTAAATTTCACTTTCTCAAGGAGGTCTTATCAACTTCCCCCAACTCAAGCCACTCTCTATGATGTCACTCTGTTTTATGTTCATCAATTTGAAAGTACCTGGATTGTTTGTTTACTTGTTTATTGCTGGTCTCCCATAACTAGAGAAGTAAGTTTAAAGAACGATAGGCCAGTTATGAGTCATCCATGGGTATATTCCCAGACACCCAGAATAATATCTGGCACAAAGAAGGTATTCAAAAAATATCATCAATGGGTGAACAGATGAATGGGTGAGTGGGAAAAATGGATGGATGAATGGATGGATGGATGGATGGATGGATGGATGGATGGATGGATGGAAGGATGGATGGATGGATGAATACATGGATAGATGTTGATAAGCAAACAGATGGAAAGATTTTGGACAGATGGAAGGATGGATGGATGGATGAATACACGGATAGATGTTGATAAGCAAACAGATGGAAAGATTTTGGACAGATGAATGGATGGCTGGAGGTATGGATGGATGAATAGATAGATGATGGATGGATGGAGGGGTAATGAATAGATGGATGACTTAAACTTTAGCAAAAGGAATTCATCTGGAAAATCATAAAAGGTGAGTCTGATGCATAATATAAGTGTGAGGAAGAAATGGAATCTGAGTCTGGAGAGGTACACTAGACAGACAGAAGCAGATGAGTGAAACTCTTGGATAGCATCTTTCTTCAAATTCCTTGAATATATTAAATAATAAATTTGGAATTATAGAGCCCTCATTGGAAGAATATAAAATTTCAAATTAAAAAACTAGGGCATATGCATATCCAACTGCTTTTTTAAAAAAGAAAAGAAAAGGAACTAAGGGCAAAAACATGGCTGTCAGCTTTCTCTTTATCTTCTCAATTCTTTTCAAATTCTAGCCCACTGGGTGTTTAATAGTGTTTCTTTTTTTGCATAGGAAAGTTTTTGAGAAATAGTGTTAGAATTTTAAAATATGCCCAATACCATATATGAGCTTTTTTGCAAAGCCTGAAAGTAATCAGGGAAGTTACTAAAAGCTCACTTGCATCTTTAGCATCCTACTTATTATTTTGTTTTGACTTATTTATTTAAAACTAATGTTTTTGGTCCAATAATATTTTAACTGATAGTTTTCAGCACTTAATAGATTTTAAAAATCAATCTTTTATTCCAGTGATTCCACATTGCCATTTCATCCTCCAGCACTTACATTTTTATTTCAATTAACACCAAAGAAATTGTTAGCACACTCACCTTTATGTAGCGCATGGGTTACTATTAAGGTTGAACACATCCATAAGATGCTCTTTATATTTATGAACATCTTGGCCTAGAAATGAAGAAAAACACAAAGTAAATCACAAGCATTCAGGTTTAAAGTGGGTCATAAATCACATGCTTTTTGTGCATTGTATGTAATAAGGGTAGTATTAAGCATTAAGTAATAAGAGTAGAAGAAGTAGCTCCTCTTGGACTATAAAAACAGGAGTAAACTTGTAATAGCAGAAGCTATCTCAATGCTTTAATTATTAGTTTGAATCTCATCCAATGCAGCCATTACCAAAATCATTCCAGAATACAGTTTGGGAACATATAACAATGTGGATGTGTGTGACAACCACAAGTGAGTAGGCTGTATGAAGAACAACAGAGACCACAGTTCAAGTAACTAGTGGATAGGAGCTGGCACAAAAAGAAATGGGTGACCACAAAGTCTATTTAGAAACAGACAGCTGATCATAAATAGAGCAAGAGAAGATGGGGAGCAATAGAGAAAGATGTTGAAAGAAAGACATCTTCATCAAGTGTAAGGTGAGAAGGAACCAATTGGTGGTTCATGCACATAATACCAAAACAGAGAATAAGGACTTCGGCAGGCTTTTTAAAGCACAGACTCCATGTAGTTTCTAGCTGGCTAAGCAAACAAAACAAATGTATTATAAGGAGGTGTTAATTACAAAAGTGACCAGTTCTTGCCATGAATTTTAAAGCAGTACCAACAGTTCTAACGTCTCAAGAGTAAAGAATGAAAGAAAATACCCTGTACTGAGTCAAGAAACTGCCCTGGCTTTGCCATTTAATTTATTGCATGACTTTGGAAAAGACATTTAACAATCTGGGTCTCAGAATGTTCCCTTCCAGCTCAAATTTCAAGGCAGCTATAATGATGAGGAGGAGAAGAACCTGTGTTGGGGAACCATCTAGAAATCAAAGTGCCAACTTCAAAAGAATGGCAAAAGATTATTTGGTTTTTACAGTTGTGCCCTCCTCGGTAGCATTTAGAACTATTCTATAATAGCCATGCGTTTCTCCTTTCTAACACAACTCTGGTTCCATTCTAGTGCCTACCCTCAGTCACATACTTTGGAGAATCCTGGGTCAAACCCCAGCCCAAGGGATGATCTTGATATCCTAAGTCAATTATAGAGGTACCATTCCCTTTTCCAATGATTGGATTTGGAACAGTATATAATATAGTTTTGGCCAGTGAGATGTGAGGGGATCTCTTCCTCCAGTGAAGGGTCCCTGGGAAAGATAGATTCATCCTGAGAAGAGAACAAAGGAAGAGGTGGTCAGTTTTCTTCCCTGGACATTATCATGCTGGAATCTTTCTGCTGGAACTGTTGTAGGGATTTTGCATCCATGAGTAAGTGAGATACCTCTGGAAATGAAGCTGAGAAAGAATCAGCAAAGGCAAGGCGTAAGTCCTTAAGGATTAGACCTAGAGTGGACCATGCCTTTGAACTTCATTTTATATGAGATTATAAATGTCATTATTGTTTAAACCCAATAAAATCGTGACTTTTTGTTCCTTACAGTTGAAAGCATCCTAACTGGTATATATTTTTCAGCTGGGACCCTGAAAAACTTCATTGGAAAAGAAATTCTATATTATTTAGCAAACCTAGATTGAAAACAAGCTAATGCTGAAATTAGTCATAAATTACAAAACTGATCTTGAACATAAATAGGGCTTGGAGTTGTACAGCATTTAATTAATTAAGACCTTTTCTCTTAATTTTTTTGCATTTGATTTCTTTATATATTTTGAAATAAGAATTAGACCTTTTCAAAACAAAATTTTTAAATTCTATAATTCTAGACACTCTCTGAAGAGCATTTTTTAAGCTAATACATTATACATCTTATATTTTCCATCTATAGACCAACTGATAATTCACAATGAAAAACATATGGTTGATAATCCTAAATTAACCCTGATAATTAAGTTTGTTATTTATCCTATAATCACTAGGATCTGCTAATAGACTTTGTTAAACACTAACTGGGAAATGCCATAATGTTTCTATGTTTCTGGATTTCTTATAAGACAGCACAGCAAGCAGGAAGTATATACCATATATCTATGCTATTACAATATTTTAAGGAAAAATAAAGGTATCAATTGCACAGCCAAAGTAAAAGATTGTATTTTATGATAAAAAGGTGTTAAAGAAAATGCATTCCATGAG
The DNA here is from genome assembly GCF_000001405.40 of Homo sapiens. Taxonomy (NCBI): domain Eukaryota; kingdom Metazoa; phylum Chordata; class Mammalia; order Primates; family Hominidae; genus Homo; species Homo sapiens. Next base: position 83,481,369 of record NC_000005.10, on the reverse strand, counting down.
TATTAGCTGAATCCAAATAAGAAACCTTTCTTTATGGCATGAACCCGGGAGGTGGAGGTTGCAGTGAGCTGAGATTGCGCCTGGGCGACAGAGCGAGACTCCGTCTCAAAAAAAAAAAAAAAAAAGAAATTAAAGATCTCTCTTTAATTATACTTATAAATAATAATTTCCTACTTTTCTTCAGGAAAATTTGTTCTCTATTTTTTATTTTTCTTTTTTTCCAGGAAATCTTTATAAGCCTAATTTTAAAAGTCTGGGCTCCACTGTCAAATAGCCCAGAATGCAAGTTCTGCATTCTCTACTTATATTCTGTGACTTTGGGTAAAATACTATATCTCTCTAAACCTCATTTTCTGTCACTACTTAGTTGTGAAAATTAGTACTTACCGAAGTGATCATAGGAATTGATAAAATAATGTATATAAAATAAATCTCAGTGATATACAATATATCAGTACTCAATATTTATTATTAAAATTACTAATTCAGACTTTCTGCAGATGTTCTAACATAGTTTCATATCACTAAGAGTAAAAAGAATAGTATTTGGGGCTCTTACATTTGAAAATTATAACCTAGGTTACCACTATAGTAGCAATATACACTTTATGCTTGGAATAAATCATCCTATAATTTATTGCTATGTACTTCAAATTATCTGTAAACATGTCTAATCTCCTCTGTAGAACAGTAGGCTTCTGGAAGGCAGAGCTAGTACTTTATTCAACTTAATAATTCCCACAATATTTCTTCATTGCCAGGTTCAGGGTATATCCTTGAGGAATGTTTGTAGATCAAATACATGATCAACGCCTCTATTTCTTATGCAGAAACACCTTTGAAACTCCGTGCCAACAATTCCTTAACACCTGAAATACTTTTGAACACTTTTGAATCAGTCCACTTGAAGATTTACCATGACCCAATAATATGATGTTTGTCAATATCTAGAGAGTCAAATCTCATTTAAAAAAACCAAAGGTGTGACCCAGGAAAGGATCTTCTGTATTTGAGTTTCCTACTCAATTTAAATACTAAAAATCGAACTCTTTGTGCCACACTCAATCCTTATAAAAGTGTCTTTTGTTGGGGAGAGGAGAATGGTCCTCCATCTACATAGGTACAACAAGTATACGCATCACTTTCCTTAAGATTACCCCTAAGACTAGGTAAGAATACAAGGAGGAGATCAGACATGCTCTAAATACATTTGAATAAGTTGCATAAATATGTTTGAATAAGTTACTCAATTTAAAAATTAGACTGTTTACACTAAATATAAGATCTCTAACTTCTTTCAAAAAATCAGAAGGTCTAGCAACACTAAGTCTATATTTCAGCTGGCTGATCATGAGCATTAACCAAGCAGCAGTCTCTCCCCTTAAGTCTGTGTGCTCAAGGCCATTACTGCCCCCACTTAGTCTCTTACCCATTTCCACTCCATGCCTCGCCCCTGTAGTCACCTAAGTTTGCAAACCTTGAATTAAAAGATGATCATTTATTTCTACAGTAAATATATCAGAGGGCTTTATTGACTTTAGCTGCCTCAGAACTACATTTCCATTCCCTCTTCTTTGGAGTCCAAGACGTTCATTCCACTTCTGTAATTTTCTCAAGGCTATGTCCCTATCCTTGGTCATTAAGTTACATCTTTTGTCTTCTATGTTTGATCATATTAAATGGAAAGCTTTCAGAAGCCTCTTTCTTTGTTTTTAGCACCACTCCAAATCCCTATTTCCATTCTTCCACTTTTCCATGTCTCTCTTATAAGCACCGTCTACTAGTGATAACAACTCTGTCTGCATGGAAAGACCTGAGAGATATGAGAGTGAATGCCTATATTTAGCCTTCTACTCCAGTGAAGTCAATGAGAAGGGAAGAAAGTCATTGAACAATCCAGGTACAGGGTACTGAGACTGTTTAATTGCCTGGGAGACATAAAAGACAAGGTCAATGGAACTCCTATCCATGAGAAATGTCTGCAGGGAGGATAAGGGACACACCAGGGATGGGCAGCCTCCGAGAGAAAGCCAAGATTCTATTAAATAGATATTTAGTATTCTCCCTTGATTTTGGGGAAGCTCAGCTGACAAGGGGTGACTTAAGGACAGAGACACGGTGGTTTTGTCCACCATTCTGCTAATTAGGTACCCTAGACAACCAACTTTCTAGGATACTTCAGCTACAAAGTGGATGTAATGAGCATCACATATCATATTGCTCACTGGTTCTTTCTCACAGAAAGAATCATTGTACAGCAGAGAGAAATCACGTGATTTAGGTGTGAAATTTCATGAATTTACTTCATACAAGTAATAGCATCATGTGAATTCCTGAACCTGGACTTGGCTAAGCTTTTTCACATTGTCGCCCCTTAGCACTCCTCTGTTCTCTGCCTGGTGAACTCCTTTCTCATTACTCTACCTAAGACATACTGTACTCTATTCCCTTTCCCATGCTCTATTTTCATCCTAGCACATATCACCATTTTGCATATGTGATTGGGAATTGCCTTTCTCTACCTACCATAGTAAAAGTTCCAACAGAGCAGTCTTTGATGTTTTGTTCACTCCTGTATCCACAATGCCTAGAACACTCAGTAAATATTTGTTAAAAGAATGAATATACACCCATTTTACATAATTAGATGTATAATATATACTCAGTTTTATCTATCAATTTTTTCACTTAGAATACAATATATTTTGGAGAATGTTCCAAATCAGCAAATACAATTTTTCCATGTTATTTTTGACAGCTGCATAGTTTTCCATTAGGTGGATACAGCAACTTTTATTTAAATGGTTCCCTATGATGAGCCTTTACACTGTTTCCAGATATTTGCTCTTAGAAGCAATGCTGCAAAGAACATCCTTGTCCATTTGTCTTGGGTGATATTGGTACCAATATCCATCCATATAATAATGTCGAGAAGTGGAATTGCTGAATCAAAGAGTATATACATCTTTTAAAAACTTTTGATAAAGAATCAAAAAAAAGTGATTGCCAAATTATTTTTTGAAGTAGAGGAACCTATTTACTTTCATACAACAGTATATGAGAGACCCAGTTTCTCCACAACCTGGCCAACACAAACTTGCATCAAACTTTTTAATTTTATTTTTGCCAGGCACAGTGGCTCATGCCTGTAATCCCAGCACTTTGGGAGGCTGAGGTGGGTGAATCACTTGAGGTCAGGAGTTCAAGATCAACTGCCATGGCCAACATGGTGAAACCCCACTCTACTAAAAACACGAAAATTAGCCAAGCATGGTGGTGGGTGCCCATAATCCCAGCTACTAGGGAGGCTGACACAGGAGAATTGCTTGAACCTGGAAGGCGGAGGTTGCAGTGAGCTGAGATCGTGCCACTGCACTCCAACCTGAGTAACAGACTCCATCTCAAAAAAAAAAAAAAAGAAAAAAATTATTTTTTTTTGTTACTCCTCTGATTGGTGAAAAAATGGTGTAGCATATCATTGGTGTTTTAATTACTATTTATTTAATTACAGATGAGGCTGAGCGATTTTTTCTATAATTTTAAAACTCTATGTCTCTTTCTGCCACTACCTGTACATAATTTTTGCTCATATTTTGATAGATGTGGACTTTTCAAAGTTATTCATAAAAGTCCATGGAATATCAAGAGTTATTAGCTTTTTGTCTCTCAAATGTCGTAGATGTTTTCCAAATATATTATTTGCTTTTGTGTAATTTTTACTTAGTCAGACCTATCAGTATTTCCTAGAATGGCACTGGGTTTTATGTTTTGCTTAGAACAGGTTTCTCTATTCCTAACTTATTTTTTTTAATCCCATGATTTTCTTTTATCATTTTGTAAAAAGTTATTCCCTACATTTCATATTTGATTCATCTTATATTTCTTTTAGGATGAGAAATCAGGTAGAGACTGATTCTTATTTTGCATGGACCCATCAATTGTCCTGAAACCATTTATTGAATAATTCTTCCTTTCCACTGAATGTCCAACTTCATTGGAGTCAATTTCTGTAACCTGTCTTCTGATTAATGAAACTAAACAATTTTTAAAACAATATGCCCCTCTCTGATTTATTTTATAGATTCAGTAGAAACTACATGGCTTGGGTAATGCAGTTATTATTAAAATTATAGAATTAGATCAATATGAATCCCAAGACATAATATATTATCATCCCTTTTTTGTATAGTTTTTCAAAGTACTTACTCTTTTGATCTTTATAACTGCATATTCATTTAATAGATTATGACACTAAAGGTCCAAAAGTAATATCTTTGCTTGGTTTTCTCAGCTAGTGAGTCCAACTCAAACTTTCTGATTCCAAGTCTAGTGCTCATTCCACTATACCTCAAGTAATATCAAATCAATAATTTAATAATAAAAAGATTATAATTTATCAAATATGTTTATTGTAAAATATGTAATCTCATTTTATAGACATAAACACCTCTTAAAATCCTTAGAAGAATGAGGTAGGATGTATACAGATGTGGAAAGTATATACATTTGTATCCTTTTATAGTTGGTAAATCTACCCAGAGGTGTGTTTCAGGAAACAGAACTGACACATTAAACAAAGATTCTCTGTACTGACCTCTGAAATACAACCACCTCTAACACATTCAATGGTAAGAACTTAGCAGTGTTTAAAAACCCTGTATACATACACACACACACGCACCCCCCACACACACACAGACTTTATATATATGTAATTTACCAAGTCTAGGCTACAAGAGGAAACTGGCAAAAATTCACTAATTGAAATGGAGCTTGGCCAAGACATCCATATCTAATCCCCCTTTTCTGATTCCAAATCAGGGAGAGTACATGCTTTGTGTTTTCTGGTAAAATACAGACCTATGTAACAATCAGCATATTTTCTCAGACCAGAGCAAGTAACTCCCAACAATGAGTGTTTGTCAGTCCTAACTGGTTTCTCTACGTGGGTGGTGAAAAAATACCTTACTACAGTCATTAATTCTTTCTTTCAAAAGAACCATGTGTCTTGAGAAGTTCTGCTCCATCACAGGGCAATATCCCATTTTAAATACAGTGTTTACCGATGTTTGTCCATGAATGACGTCAACAAAAATGTTTAAATCTCACCAGGAAAGGAGGGCTTAGTTGCCAGACTTTGGGAGACAGAGTTAGTTGATCTTTGCGCTCTCAAAGGCTCTGTTACTCAATTAAGTGACCAATCATTAACTCCAAAGTATTTAAGCCTAATAATACAACAAAAGAGAGAACAATGGGTAGTATCTTTAACATTAATCATGGTCACCTTTGGTTTAGCTGTTTAGGTCCTTTCCTAGCAGAATTTACAAGTGTATAGATACAGGTATTCTGGAATATCAAAGGCATCTCCCTCCAGTTTGCAAACACAGGGAAAAAGAAGAAACTTACATCTGTAAACCTATGTAAATCTAGGGGGATTCCTTTCAAACCTCGTTTTTTTGAAAGCAGGAAATACAATTTAAAACCAACTCTGTTTTTATCTACCAAAAGAATCAAAACTTTGAATTCTGACATAAATCCTAAATGATTGTCTTGAATCTCATCCCGCTTCCTACCTAATCTTCTCACAAGAAGATTAAGGACTGTGGACTTGGTGCTGGAGGAAGTAATTGCTCAATCACATTGGAATCCATTGGAACCCTTTACAATATTACTGCGGGCAGACAATACAATTCTAACATATTTCTTTCTTTACTCAGAGCTCAGAACAAGAAGTCAGACTCTTGGAGACCTTCTCCCTGATGTACTGCTCTTAACATTTCCAAGTTACAAACTGGGAACCGCTTCTATCTCAGAACACTAATTGTTGCTTCCATTGGTACCTTCCTATTTTTATATTACACTCACAACATCCTATTTTAGGACTTTATGTGAATATTTTCAGGATGGGTTTGGCGAAATTGTCAAGAAGTGCTTAAAACAATTAGGTCACAGCTTTCAGCAGACAAAAAGAAAAAGACGTGGCTGTTAGCTACAGAATCTGAGGTGATGGAAAAGATCTTTAAAATCCAGTTCTTCCAATATGCAGCAAAATGGGAGGACTTAAAATGCAGCTCTAAGAAGCACCGTCTCGTCTGCACCAAGCTTCTCCAGGTTTCCAGCTCAGTCACTCCCTAAATAGGTGCTGAGCTTCCAGTCCCCGCCAGGTCCCCGCTAAGGTTCCTCATTGAGGCACAGGAACCTCAGTTACACTCGCAGCCCTTCCATGTTTGCCCCCATGAAATTCTATTAGTCTTGTCGAATGGCAGTATTTGCCATTCCAGGCGAACTCTTTATGACAGTCTGGAACGAAATTAATCTGTTAATTGACTAAGAATGGGCTTTAGAGTGACCTGAATGTATTTAAAAAGTCAACAAATGGAATACGGTATAAAGTCTCATTTTTCTGACAAAAAGTTTGCTTGGAGTAAATTTTAACCTCTCCCCTGCCTCAAAACAAAAGCACGATGCCCCTCCTACCACTCCCAAGAAGCAAGCAAAAATAAAATAAAATAAAATAAAACTTAAATAGCCTTTTAATAAGAGTGTTCAGCGCTGTCTGGATGGAACTCGGGTCAGCTCCAGAAGCAGCCGGCCCCGAATCCTGGGGGCGAGGCCACTCGGCTCTCTCGGTTAAGCTGGGCCCTGCCTTCCCCGCCCCGCCCCCATTGGCCTCGGTGGGTGGGGGCCTCGGCTGCGCCGGCCGCCTGTGCGGCTGTACTGCAGTCTCTGAGCCCAGGAAGTCACACCCGTCTCGGCTGGGAGCCGAAGCGCCAACCCACGTGGCGGCTGGCTAACCCAGCCGCTGCGGGGAGCGCCCGTTGCGGGTCCTCCCTTGGCGCGAGGTGAGCGAGTGGGGGCGGGCCCCAGACCCAGCCCCTTTGGGCGGGGCTGGACCACCTCCGCTTGTCTAGTTCTTTCCCACCCTTCCATCCCGGCACGCCTCTGCAGTCACATTTGTTGCCGCTGGGAAAGGGAAAAGAGTATCCTAAAACGAGTCTCGAAATTCAGACCCAAACCCCGAAACGAACCCTTCCGGTCCGTTCCTGGCTGTTTGAATGCCATCTGCCCCATCTCCGTTCCTTTCTCCTTTTCCTCCCCTCCACGGTCCTCTTTCCTTCCACTTCCCTTCCTTCCCTTTCTTTTTTCCTCCCACTGCCCGCCTTCTCTCCACTTTCCCGTCCGACGCCCGCCCTGAAGTTGAGGAAGTTTAAGTTTTGGATTAGGAGCCCTTCTTTTGCAATATCCTGGGGCGGGGCCCTAGCGTTGGGTTCAAGTGGTCATGGGTTTTGAGAGCACGGTATGTGTATTATCTTTCTTAAAGACGCCCAGGGTGGCGCGTCTAGACCTCCGAAACCTGGCTCCACCCTGGCCATGTGCGTTCGTCCACTAAGCGGCGAACTGGACCCAGGGCGCCGCGTGCGTTCCAGCCGACTCGCGAGAAGGCATCTCTGCACTTTGCACAGACCAAGACCTTTTTTCAGGGTCCTCCAAACTCCTAGATGTACGCCGCAGATTGTGGAGTGCAAAATGAATGACTTAAGGGAAAACTAGGGCCTTCCATCCTTGAACACAAGGTTGTGAAAGATGCTCGCTTGGTCTGGGGGGCTTGTTTTTCTCCGCCTGTGCGGGACTTCTCCATCAGGGGGCGCCCACACCCGCCGCAAAACTCCCAATTCCTAGACATCTAGGTTCTGCAAGTCTTGTGAGCTGAACTGGGGGCAGATCCGAAGGAGCGCACCGCCTCCCTCGCTCCTCCCTCCCTGCTGCCTTGGAGCACGGGAAAGGCAGGGATTTCACACTAGCCATTCATTTGTCAGCTGTGGGGGAGGGGACGCAGAAGCTAGAGAGAGAGAACAGAGGCTGGGAGAGGGGAAGGGAGGCAGAGAAGATGGAGACAGAGGGAGACACAAAGATGAGGAACGCGACCCAGAGAGACTCTGCCGCGGGTGTGCGCGCGGCAGGACAACTCTCCAGGCGCCGTGTAGATTTCTCCCCCTTCCCGCAGCATCTCCCAGGGACATGCAGGACTTGCCGAGACGCAGTTGGATTGGAGAGCAAATAGTTTAGGCTATGACACTATTTTTCTACCCCGCTCTCCTCTGCCTAACACCCAGACCGCTCCACGCCCAGTGACACAGACCGCGGGCCAGAACAACCCGGATGCCCTAGGTCTGCACGCACCAGGGATGTCGCCCTACAGCGCCCACGCCTCTGCAGGACGGTGGGGCGCTCCAGCCGAGGACGTCCCCCGGGGCTCCCGGCACACGCGCGCGCCGCTGCCGCTAGACCTGCCAGTAAAGTTGCTCAACTAGAGCGGAGAACTAGGAGAGGGTGGGGAATATGTAAGGAAACGGAGGACTCCTGTAGTCTGGGCGAGAGGACTGACCCAGAGGCCCCTGATTCGGGTCCCCGAGCCACCTTTGTCTGCAGTGCGCTCTGGGTGCCGGTTTGCTTGTTGAGATGGGAGCGACAGACCCTATTTCACTCTTCAGGGTGAGAAAAATTGTTGCACATCCCTGCCGATTCAGAACAGGCTTTTCCCGCCCAGGGGCCTCCCAGACCTCCGCGGGGCTCCAACAACCCCACCCCCCATCCTCTGCTCCTTCCCTGCTGGCCCCTTCGCACCGCGTGCAGGACAAAAGAACCCAGGGGCGCCGGGAGAGAACCGTGACAGTCCCCAAGTCGTCAAAGAGACACGGCGGGGATCCTGCACCTCCCCCGGCCGGACCTCCTCCCAGACTGCCTGCGGTCTGAAGGGGTCAGGTCCGCGCAAGGTCCCAGGCTGCTTGGGCGCCGGGTCGCACTGTCAGGAGCTGCCCGGGAGTGGCTTTCCAGGAACACCAGGCACTGACCACACACCAGGGGCTGGGAAACCAGGTGGCCTGCACCAAGGCGGCTTCGGGGACTTGTCTGTGGCAAGTCTTGGTAGTCCCCATTCAAACTTTTGCCTCGAGCGTGTTAAGAACAACAACAACAAAAAAATCAAAGTGCCAAAGGTCCCTCTCTTCTCTCCAGCTCAAGAACCCACCACTTTTCTATGATTTCTTTACAATTTATTCCCTCCCTTCCCCCAATTCCGTTAGTCATTTTACCCCCCACCCCACCCTGGGTTTCTTTTGTCTGAATCTTTTTCAACACCAAGGTCCCTCTGTATGCCTCTCCCCAAAAGCCCTTATGAAAGTTACCTGCATTTTTTAAGTGCCTACATTTTCTTAACTTCGCCTTACAGCTCTTTGCCTTAATTAAAGCCTTCTACCAATTGCTTCTTTTTTCTAAGCTCGCGGGTTTTTTTCTATAAGTTTTTTGTTTTTGTTTTTTAAGGGGGGAACAAAAGAAACGTGATTACCTTGGAAGGCGGCTTATTGCAGTTTGGGGGGAAAATTCACTGCAGCGCTGCGCGACTGGGTTCGGCGTTGCCCAGGCGGGTCACATAGGAAGCGTGGTGGCCCGGGGAAGGATGCGGAGGGTGCGGGACGGTGCTGGAAGATGCGGGAGGATGCGGGGCTGGCCGAAGATCTTGGTCCCAGCTCCTGTCCACAACACCTAATGTTCTCGGCTGTTGCGTCCGCACGCCTGGAGTTCTTCCCCAGAAAGGCTCGGGGCAGCTCGCCTGCAAGTTCAAATGCGGGTTGTGACACCCATCATCATTATATCACTGTACCGTCAGAGCCGAGGAGGAGACTCAGCGAGAAGAAGGAGGAGGGAGAGGAGGAGGGTTCATTCACAGGCTCCAAAAGCGCTCCGCAGCTTCAGCCACTCCTAAGAGTCCAGGCTTGGAAAGCAGGCGGAGGGGCGGAAAGGCAGCTCCCCGCGCCTGCGGTAGGGACCGCCTGCCTCCCTCCCCAGGCACTCCCACCTCTTGGCGTTTCTTCCTGACAAGAAGTACCAATCGGCTTGGGGACAGCAGCGCTCCCCATTCAGGGACTCACTCAGTAACATCGCTCTGCTCGCGGAAACCACTGCCCTCCCACTCCTTCCCCACCCCCATTTCCCCGCCCCCCGTGCAGCTAGTTCTGGGTTAGGGGAAAGGAGCCCCCAGGCTCTTAGGGGGCAGGCCAGCAATAGACAATTGAGTACGATCACTTCTTCTCGGGAGCACACAAAACTGTAAAATCAGCAAAGAACTTGGTTACAGCGTGTTTACGCGCCCACAGAGCTTGCCTGTCCCATCAAAGGGAAGTGTCAGGCTCAAGGCTCCTGCCAACCTGAAAGAGACACTGAGAAAACGAGATCCTTCGGGGACCTAGAGGGAAAGTGTAAGAATTCCCCACTGCACTCCCAGGGAACTGCCCAATGGGGAGCCCGGCTTCAAAAGACCCTGGTAATAAAAGGCTGGACAGGAAATTCCCCCAGGCAAATCCCTTGTCGGATTCAAAGAGAATACTTTTCCTCTGCCACAAATCTCTCCCCACATAAGTCTAGATTCTGCTTTCTTCGTTCTTCCTTTCCTTCAGTCTTTCCAAGTATCTCTGAGTAGAATATTTGATAATTTTCCTGAGTAACAGGGACTTCTTGGAAGTATCAATCACCTTTCATGCTTTCCGGAAATAAGACCATAATCTTTCATGCGTATATGCGATTTTTTTTCTTCAGTCAGGCCCACCCCACTGTGTAAACAGCATCAACACATGGAAGAGTCCCCTGCATTGTGTTACAAAAGATTTCCAATAGGACCTTACAGAGAAAAGGGTCAAACAGTTGACACAAAGGATTTCTGTCCCCTTAGAAAAGAGGGACTTTGGATTTTCCTTTTCTTTGAAGTCAAGTATGAGTTTATACAATAGGAACAAAATAAATCCAAGGTGCACATCAGTATAACACTAGGGATACTAGAATGGATGGCAAACTTTTCCTTCTACACAAATATGAAAGTATCCTCACAACTCTTCTCTCTGAAGCCTCTACTTAGAAAATTATATTAAACATAGGACCTCAAAACAGTAGTGATTAAAGATGAAAGCCAATTTTTCCTCTCAACTTCTTTGATTAGTTTGGTTTAAACTTATGCTTTAAAACTTTTAGTAACTTAGACTCCTGTACATGCGCATTTATAAGATTTCTTTTATATTTTGTAATTTGTAGGCATTCAGCATGGTCATTGATTTTAAGTGATAAACAGGTAGAAGACTTGTCAGGATAATTTCAGTTCTCACCATGTGCATCTTTCATTTCTTTTGTTATTTATCAGCCCTCTGCAGTAATATAACTGTCAGTTACATCATTTGGAAATCAATGTGTTTTTGCAGTGAATTATTTATTCTTAGTAAATTTATTGTACTACCATTCCAAACACTGAAATTTGATTTCATCAGATGTTTAGAATGATAGTCACAGAGCAGAATCAGACTTCAACCTTCATGTATAACATGTAAACAAACTAAGGTGCAGAAAGTTACTGTCCCAAAGTCACACAATTAATAGTCCAGTGGTCTTTTCAGTGCTAATCATAGCAACTTTAGATTCAAGATTGCTTGATTCAGGAATGGAGAGAAATAAAATAAAATGAATGTTCATTGAAATATATACTCCAGACATTAAGATAGACCTTTCTGTGAAACACTTCAAGATGTGGATTTGTATTCTCATTCTTAAATTTGAGTAAATCTAGTTGAGTTTCAAAGAGTTCAAGTAACCTGCCCAAGGCCATTTTGTAAGTGACAGATCTGCCAGTCTGAAAAGCTTATTATCTTTTACCCTTTTGTCCCTTTATGATACAGTTAAGTAAAACCTTTCAACAAAGGAGAACTAGATCAGAAACAAGCAACTAATAGCAGATTAATGCCCATTTTTAGGGAAATGTTAATAGTTAACATTCACTATAAATAATGCCATCTGTATATAATGGAACATGATTGAAAGTGATGGGTTAGATACTTTTTACATTCTGAGATGTTTTCATTTATGTTGCCAAATTTGATTCTCTAATCCTCCAAAATTTTTAGTTTCTTTTAATGCCAATAGACTTCACAACACTTGACCAAATACTTCTACAGGACAAAGGCACTTTCTCAGGGCTGACTTAAGGAATTAGAATATGCACAATGTTGAAAAGCTTTAAACTGCCTGTCTTTTCTCTTCTTTGACTTGTAACATTATTATTCAGAAAATTAAATACTTCTTCAGGCTATCAGATAACTAAAATGAAATTATACCCCATGGATATCTTCTTTCTATCTCTAGGGCAGACTTTCCCCTCTAGCTGTCTAAAATGGAGAATGGATAAAAAAGAAAAAGGAAAACATACCAGCTATATTTAGAATAGAGTCTACAGTTGTATTATTATTTCTATGTAACTGTTTTTAATGACTTTCCTTCATCAAGAGAAAGAAAATGAGAGAGCATTTATTTCTGATTCTCCAATGCCTGACAAAACTATCAGAAGTTTTTGAATGGGAAAATATATATTTTTCAGGTTTTATAACTAAAATTGTATTTATTTGTCCATTACACTCAAGTATGAATCAAACAGTAATTAAAATATTATTCTGTGAGTCCCCCTTTAAATCACATCCTTGTACTGGGGATATTCTTTGTGAAAACTCCAAGATCCCAGGTATAAATAAAGCAAGATCTTCATTCACAATGCTTGTGTCTAAAAGAAACCATAAGCCAGAAGCTATGTGCCTTGCTTCCTTGCTTTGATCTTGTCTTTGGGAATTTGGCTGAGCTCAGGGGCAGCAAGCCAATGACTTGGAGAGGAAAGGTGTAGATGGCAGATGTGTCTCCAGGGAATTTTATTATCTTCATCTAAACCTCCTTCTGAGGTTCTTTAGGATTACATTTCAGACTTCTCCTTTTTTATTGATCAGGTGAAGTGTTCTTAGACATGGCATCATCTATTGCTGCTCTAGGGATGACAAGATTCCAGTCCCATTCAAATTCAGAAAGAGCTTAGTTTCAACTCCTTGATCTGACTGGTCCTAGGCACAACTAAGCAAATTATCCTCACTGGATGATACAGTAATGCTACAGATTAAAAATGTACTTTTAACTTTCAAAGACCCTGGAAAAAGGAAGCCTATCCTCTAAGATTGTGTCATAATTTTTTTTTTAAATAAAACACTGCAAATTAGGGACAGACATTTCATCCAGCACTTTGAATTCTCTTTGGCTTTCTAGGAAAGGCAGAAATACAAGGTCTTTATTGCCTTCTTTTTATTCTTAAAAAAGAAATCTTGCAAAAGGCAAAGTGATGGTGGCAATCTCATTGTGCTTTAACCCGAAGTATATAAATTGCTCTGATAAATTAAACACAGACAAATTTCCTTAGAAAGCCATAAAACATTAGATTTTTCCCAGACATCAGATATTGAGTTTTTGCTCTCCAACCCCCAAATCAAAATGTTACAGTAAAATATTTGTTTTAATAAATTTTTTTTTCTCCTGTGCTGTAAATGTCCTGTTCATGGTTGAGCAGATTTCTCTAGAACTTAACTGAAAGACCATCTACATCACGACAGAACTATGCAAGCCAAAGCCAAGTTCCAACATGGAGTGATGGGAGAGGCCGGGCTGCCGAGAGGAGATGACTTCATTAGTGAGAAGAGAGGCTCTCTGAGCCGGTCCTCAAGGCAGCCAAATGGCTCAGCACATCTGCACTCACCCTGGGAGGCTGCCTGGAGCAGAGCATCAAAAACGCTATCTTTTTTATAAAGAAAAAGATGAAGGCATAAAGAACACAGTCCAACTAAATTGAATCAAAGATTGTATCACTCTTACTCCCTCCTTAGTCACTTTCTCAAAGTCTTTTTCTTCTCTCCCCACAGTCTGAAAAATATAGGTCATTTTTATAAAGCATTTGTCTGACTGAAGCAAGACAAACTGAAGAGTCTGGTTTCTGAACACAAGGAAGCGGTAGAGATCTTAGAATCAATGAGGCAGGGCGGAATACAATGCAGAAGGTTTCTTAAGAGGCAAAACTTTTGCAGTTGCTGTTTATTTTCAGTGACTACCCGTTTCCATTTATTTAATTAGACTACAGTGGGACCGAGACAAGGAGCATAATGAAAGCTGCTGCACTGATGGTGCAAAAAGACACATGGCATCATTAATGTCTCTGTGGTGAGCAAAGGTAGAACGCAAGACAGAAAACAAGGAAACCTCTGTGTTGTAAGAAAAGTGTTCAGCATGGGTATCAACCGGCATGTAGAAGCAGCAAGCATACATTCCATTTTTATTCTATTGACAAAAAGAATTGCAGGACTAATGCTTGCTCCTATTAAAATATGAGAAATCACATTTTAATCCTACAAATCAAAGGTCAAATATTTGTTGCAATAATTCCAAAAAAAAGAGAAGATCTGTAAGACTTAGCAAATACTTATTACAAACAGACTGCTTTCAATTTTTTATATTTTCTCTCAATTCAACAAAAGTTTATTGAGCAGCTTTTATGTGCATTGTTTTAGATAGTAGGCATTATTCAAAAAAGTAACAATTATTTTCCATCTTTAAGGAGTTTATAATGTCTCTAGAAAGAAATTAACTCATTGGAGTAGCCAAAGTTATAACTGATCTATAAAATGACTAGTGAACTTAGAGGAAAATTATATATAAATATTTTTGTCTCCATTGGCTGGTTCAGCTAGACATCATTTTAAAAAACATCCCATTGACTACAAATGGATGAAGGAAGGATAATAGTTCAGTAAATCTATCTCCCTTACTGGAAAATCTCTTTCATGCACATAATCTATTAACACTGAATCCCAGGCATTAACTTTATTGCACGTGACAAAATCATCTTTCTTATTTTCTTATAACATGTTGTTGGTACATATATTTAGCAACTATATACAACTATATCACTGGTGTATGCAATATAGTTGGTAAAATAACAACATGTTATTTTAAAACCCCAACATGTTGTCAGGGTTCATTGTAAGTGATAAATCCAACATTTGTACTATGTGAAAAAAAGGAGAATGATAAAGAAAAGCATTGGTTGTCATCCTAATAAGAAAAGAAGCTCAGGGAAATTGAATACTCTAAGGGTACTAGGGTCTCTGACTACTGGGCACCAGTATCAAATGGAGTCACTAGAAAACAAGAGAAAAGAACAATGTGCTAAAAATTCTCCTTCTTAGTTATCATAAAGTTAAAATAATATGATTTAAAATATAATATCCAATCTATAGGCTTCCCTCACAAAAGAACTTGAGAATGTGTAATGGCCTTTCCTATCCCCATTTCCACAACTCCTTTGGCCACTTTTTGTTTTATCTTCTCTCTTGTGGCAGCTGTCTTTTCTTGCCTCCTCCCTCCCATATCATCTCACAAGGTAACTATCTTAGTTTGGATTCCCACAGCAGCAAACCCTGTGACAAGGATTCAAATGCAAATAGTTTATTTAAGAGGTGAGATCAACAACCCTCTATAGGGAAGTGAGAAATGAGGCAGGGAAGGGAAGGAGGATGGGGAAAGGAGCATTTCTAGCAGGTTGCACTGAGTAAGTGGCGCTTATTCCCATTAGAAATGCTCAGGAACAGTACAGAACAGACATGCACCTCAGAAGCATCCCATCTGAGAGGTGAGGGAGCTGAAGTATTTATACACTTGCTGGTGGAGGGCTTCTCCAGTGGGTGTGTATCCTCTCCCATTTCTGCCCTGTGCACAGGCAGACTGGGCTCTGGTTTATTTCCACAAGGGACAAGGAACCACTGAAAGCAATAAGCTAAAAGATGTAGGTAGGGGCTGCAATTAGAACTTGGGCTAGCATGCCCAGAAACGACACAGGCGAGGGGCTATGGGTGGGGTACCATTTACATCTGCTGTAACTCCCAATATTCTCATCACTACCAAGCCTGGTTAGGGTTGCAGGCTTTGCTACCTTGGTTGGAGCAGGATAAGGTGACAAGTCTTACGATGTTGGAGATTAATGTGAACTCTTCCATCAACTCCTTCCTCTCTCAGCTCCTTTCCTCCACCAGGATCATCCCTACTGCTACCTTCATACACCCAGGGCTGCCTCATCAGCTAAATCCCCAGCCTGAGTCTCAGTGCTTCTCCCTCCCAGAGACCTAGTTTGATTCCCTCTCATCTCAATTCCTGGGAAGGACTATCCAGATAAGGCCTGAAAACTATTGTTCTGGGAATCATAAATGAACTTTCAACTCATGGTAGTTAAGGTCCAGAAGGGCTATAAATTACCCTAGTCCAAAGTTTTCTTACTTCAGATATATATATATATATATATATATATATATAGAGAGAGAGAGAGAGAGAGAGAGAGAGAGAGAGAGAGAGAGAAAATGTAAAATGACTACATCAGTTGAGAGTGCTCTACACCTGAGAATTTCATTACAGAGTATAGATGAAAACAGGAATACAACATACTCTCTGCTTTGAGAAACACTGGAAACTCAAATGACTTACTGAGGCCATGAGGATATCATAAAAGCGTGAAGTAGAGAAGTAAACAATAGAGAATAGTGAGGAGTCTCTTCAAGTAGAAGACTCATTACTGCTTAGTTCCAGCCAATTGTAATGTGGGGCTGTTGGCCCAGTATTTCCAGCTTTTAAAATGTTAAACAGGCCAGACAAAACTAGTCTGTGGGCCGATTCCCACCCAAGGGATGCCAATTGTAACATTTAAAAGTTTAAATGATAAAAGACAAGAAGGATGGGAAGGGAGCAGAAACGGTACTCATTTTGTTCCCTTTATCCACTGTCTCCTTTTCTTCTTCTTTTTATTTCTTATCAGTAAACACCCTTATGAATCCCCAAGAGACAGTGTGTTCTGCAGTGGCTTAAGAAGGGGAAAAAGCAATGACGGGGAAAGTTCAAGGAAGAAGAAAGGGACCAATACACCAGGATTTCTGAAGAAACAAGGAACACTGAAACCAAAGTGTAGAAGGCAGGCAGGATGCCCTAGCCCTACCTAGCTCCCTTTCTTGGTACTTACCATGTGCCACCAGCAGCCCAGGCTCCTCTTGAGCCCCTGTTCCAGGGACCACGAAAGTCTCTTTTCCCTTTGCAGCTGAGGGAGGTAAAGCCCTAGGAACCCAAGTGGTAACTGTGGTTGCATTTTTCTGAGAGTGTCTTAAGCAATAATACTGTTAATTCTGTAGTCCTCATGCACATTCCTAACCAATAGACTTCACGTGATTTGATATCTTGAAACAACGTATTCTCAGGTCTAAAAGACCAATTTGCCACTGTTCATAAGGATAAGCACATTCGGCTGTAAATGAAATAGAAAATACCTATACACTGTGGCATAGACAGTTGCATTTTTGGAAGCAGGTGGGGAGAAGTCAGGAAGGAGGTTTCAAGAATGCATGAACCTGAGGAATGAGCTAAAAATTTGATTATAATTGGAAATTGTTTCCTAAGATGACCCAGAGATACCTAATCAAGACTGAAAGTTTCTATGGCAAATGGAAAAACTGGGGAGAGGACAATGTTGGGAACAGATGCATGGGTGATGTTTGGCAAACCATGGGAGAGGGAGTAGGAAAGAGCAGACCTGAGTAAAAAATTAGGTTGCTCAAAACCAGGTTATTTTGTAGATCCCACTCAAGGAGTTTTAATAATTAAAACCTGGGAATTTCGGAGCCAAGATGGCCGAATAGGAACAGCTCCGGTCTACAGCTCCCAGCGTGAGCGACGCAGAAGACGGGTGATTTCTGCATTTCCATCTGAGGTACCGGGTTCATCTCACTAGGGAGTGCCAGACAGTGGGCGCAGGTCAGTGGGTGCGCGCACCGTGCACGAGCCGAAGCAGGGCGAGGCATTGCCTCACTTGGGAAGCGCAAGGGGTCAGGGAGTTCCCTTTCCAAGTCAAAGAAAGGGGTGACGGACGCACCTGGAAAATCGGGTCACTCCCACCCGAATACTGCGCTTTTCCGACCGGCTTAAAAAACGGCGCACCACGAGAGTATATCCCACACCTGGCTCAGAGGGTCCTACGCCCACGGAGTCTCCCTGATTGCTAGCACAGCAGTCTGAGATCAAACTGCAACGCGGCAGCGAGGCTGGGGGAGGGGCGCCCGCCATTGCCCAGGCTTGCTTAGGTAAACAAAGCAGCTGGGAAGCTCGAACTGGGTGGAGCCCACCACAGCTCAAGGAGGCCTGCCTGCCTCTGTAGGCTCCACCTCTGGGGGCAGGGCACAGACAAACAAAAAGACAGCAGTAACCTCTGCAGACTTAAATGTCCCTGTCTGACAGCTTTGAAGAGAGCAGTGGTTCTCCCAGCACGCAGCTGGAGATCTGAGAACGGGCAGACTGCCTCCTCAAGTTGATCCCTGACCCCTGACCCCTGAGCAGCCTAACTGGGAGGCACCACCCAGCAGGGGCACACTGACACCTCACACTGCAGGGTATTCCAACAGAACTGCAGCTGAGGGTCCTGTCTGTTAGAAGGAAAACTAACAAACAGAAAGGACATCCACACCAAAAACCCATCTGTACATCACCATCATCAAAGACCAAAAGTAGAGAAAACCACAAAGATGGGGAAAAAACAGAAAAACTGGAAACTCTAAAAAGCAGAGCGCCTCTCCTCCTCCAAAGGAACGCAGTTCCTCACCAGCAACGGAACGAAGCTGGATGGAGAATGACTTTGACGAGCTGAGAGAAGGAGGCTTCAGACGATCAAATTACTCTGAGCTACGGTAGGACATTCAAACCAAAGGCAAAGAAGTTGAAAACTTTGAAAAAAATGTAGAAGAATGTATAGAATAACCAATACAGAGAAGTGCTTAAAGGAGCTGATGGAGCTGAAAACCAAGGCTCGAGAACTACGTGAAGAATGCAGAAGCCTCAGGAGCTGATGCGATCAACTGGAAGAAAGGGTATCAGCGATGGAAGATGAAATGAATGAAATGAAGCGAGAAGGGAAGTTTAGAGAAAAAAGAATAAAAAGAAATGAGCAAAGCCTCCAAGAAATATGGGACTATGTGAAAAGACCAAATCTACGTCTGACTGGTGTACCTGAAAGTGATGCGGAGAATGGAACCAAGTTGGAAAACACTCTGCAGGATATTATCCAGGAGAACTTCCCCAATCTAGCAAGGCAGGCCAACGTTCAGATTCAGGAAATACAGAGAACGCCACAAAGATACTCCTCGAGAAGAGCAACTCCAAGACACATAATTATCAGATTCACCAAAGTTGAAATGAAGGAAAAAATGTTAAGGGCAGCCAGAGAGAAAGGTCGGGTTACCCTCAAAGGGAAGCCCATCAGACTAACAGCTGATCTCTCGGCAGAAACCCTACAAGCCAGAAGAGAGTGGGGGCCAATATTCAACATTCTTAAAGAAAAGAATTTTCAACGCCCAGAATTTCATATCCAGCCAAACTAAGCTTCATAAGTGAAGGAGAAATAAAATACTTTACAGGCAAGCAAATGCTCAGAGATTTTGTCACCACCAGGCCTGCCCTAAAAGAGCTCCTGAAGGAAGCGCTAAACATGGAAAGGAACAACCGGTACCAGCCGCCACAAAATCATGCCAAAATGTAAAGACCATCAAGACTAGGAAGAAACTGCATCAACTAACGAGCAAAATAACCAGCTAACATCATAATGACAGGATCAAATTCACACATAAAAATATTAACTTTAAATGTAAATGGACTAAATGCTCCAATTAAAAGACACAGACTGGCAAATTGGATAAAGAGTCAAGACCCATCAGTGTGCTGTATTCAGGAAACCCATCTCACGTGCAGAGACACACATAGGCTCAAAATAAATGGATGGAGGAAGATCTACCAAGCAAATGGAAAACAAAAAAAGGCAGGGGTTGCAATCTTAGTCTCTGCTAAAACAGACTTTAAACCAACAAAGATCAAAAGAGACAAAGAAGGCCATTACATAATGGTAAAGGGATCAATTCAACAAGAAGAGCTAACTATCCTAAATATATATGCACCCAATATAGGAGCACCCAGATTCATAAAGCAAGTCCTGAGTGACCTATAAAGAGACTTAGACTCCCACACATTAATAATGGGAGACTTTAACACCCCACTGACAACATTAGACAGATCAACGAGACAGAAAGTCAACAAGGATACCCAGGAATTGAACTCAGCTCTGCACCAAGCAGACCTAATAGACATCTACAGAACTCTCCACCCCAAATCAACAGAATATACATTTTTTCCAGCACCACACCACACCTATTCCAAAACTGACCACATACTTGGAAGTAAAGCTCTCCTCAGCAAATGTAAAAGAACAGAAATTATAACAAACTATCTCTCAGACCACAGTGCAATCAAACTAGAACTCAGGATTAAGAATCTCACTCAAAACCGCTCAACTACATGGAAAATGAACAACCTGCTCCTGAAGACTACTGGGTACATAACAAAATGAAGGCAGAAATAAAGATGTTCTTTGAAACCAACGAGAACAAAGACACAACATACCAGAATCTCTGGGATGCATTCAAAGCAGTGTGTAGAGGGAAATTTATAGCACTACATGCCCACAAGAGAAAGCAGGAAAGATCCAAAATTGACAACCTAACATCACAATTAAAAGAACTAGAAAAGCAAGAGCAAGCACATTCAAAAGCTAGCAGAAGGCAAGAAATAACTAAAATCAGAGCAGAACTGAAGGAAATAGAGACACAAAAAACCCTTCAAAAAATTAATGAATCCAGGAGCTGGTTTTTTGAAAGGATCAACAAAATTGATAGACTGCTAGCAAGACTAATAAAGAAAAAAAGAGAGAAGAATCAAATAGACACAATAAAAAATGATAAAGGGGATATCACCACCGATCCAACAGAAATACAAACTACCATCAGAGAATACTACAAACACCTCTACGCAAATAAACTAGAAAATCTAGAAGAAATGGATACATTCCTCGACACATACACTCTCCCAAGACTAAACCAGGAAGAAGTTGAATCTCTGAATAGACCAATAACAGGATCTGAAATTGTGGCAATAATCAATAGCTTACCAACCAAAAAGAGTCCAGGACCAGATGGATTCACAGCCGAATTCTACCAGAGATACAAGGAGGAACTGGTACCATTCCTTCTGAAACTATTCCAATCAATAGAAAAAGAGGGAATCCTCCCTAACTCATTTTATGAGGCCAGCATCATTCTGATACCAAAGCCAGGCAGAGACACAACCAAAAAAGAGAATTTTAGACCAATATCCTTGATGAACATTGATGCAAAAATCCTCAATAAAATACTGGCAAAACGAATCCAGCAGCACATCAAAAAGCTTATCCACCAAGATCAAGTGGGCTTCATCCCTGGGATGCAAGGCTGGTTCAATGTACGCAAATCAATAAATGTAATCCAGCATATAAACAGAGCCAAAGACAAAAACCACATGATTATCTCAATAGATGCAGAAAAAGCCTTTGACAAAATTCAACAACCCTTCACACTAAAAACTCTCAATAAATTAGGTATTGATGGGATGTATTTCAAAATAATAAGAGCTATCTATGACAAACCCACAGCCAATATCATACTAAATGGGCAAAAACTGGAAGCATTCCCTTTGAAAACTGGCACAAGACAGGGATGCCCTCTCTCACCATTCCTATTCAACATAGTGTTGGAAGTTCTGGCCGGGCAATCAGGCAGAAGAAGGAAATGAAGGGTATTCAATTAGGAAAAGAGGAAGTCAAATTGTTCCTGTTTGCAGATGACATGATTGTATATCTAGAAAACCCCATTGTCTCAGCCCAAAATCTCCTTAAGCTGATAAGCAACTTCAGCAAAGTCTCAGGATACAAAATCAATGTACAAAAATCACAAGCATTCTTATACATCAACAACAGACAAACAGAGAGCCAAATCATGAGTGAACTCCCATTCACAATTGCTTCAAAGAGAATAAAATACCTAGGAATCCAACTTACAAGGGATGTGAAGGACCTCTTCAAGGAGAACTACAAACCACTGCTCAAGGAAATAAAAGAGGATACAAACAAATGGAAGAACATTCCATGCTCATGGGTAGGAAAAATCAATATCGTGAAAATGGCCATACTGCCCAAGGTAATTTACAGATTCAATGCCATCCCCATCAAGCTACCAATGCCTTTCTTCACAGAATTGGAAAAAACTACTTTAAAGTTCATATGGAACCAAAAAAGAGCCTGCATCGCCAAGTCAATCCTAAGCAAAAAGAACAAAGCTGGAGGCATCACACTACCTGACTTCAAACTATACTGCAAGGCTACAGAAACCAAAACAGCATGGTACTGGTACCAAAACAGGGATATAGATCAATGGAACAGAACAGAGCCCTCAGAAATAACGCCACATATCTACAGCTATCTGATCTTTGACAAACCTGAGAAAAACAAGCAATGGGGAAAGGATTCCCTATTTAATAAATGGTGCTGGGAAAACTGGCTAGCCATATGTAGAAAGCTGAAACTGGATCCCTTCCTTACACCTTATACAAAAATCAATTCAAGATGAATTAAAGACTTAAACGTTCGACCTAAAACCATAAAAACCCTAGAAGAAAACCTAGGCATTACCATTCAGGACATAGGCATGGGCAAGGACTTCATGTCTAAAACACTAAAAGCAATGGCAACAAAAGCCAAAATTGACAAATGGGATCTAATTAAACTAAAGAGCTTCTGCACAGCAAAAGAAACTACCATCAGAGTGAACAGGCAACCTACAAAATGGGAGAAAATTTTCACAACCTACTCATCTGACAAAGGGCTAATATCCAGAATCTACAATGAACTCAAACAAATTTACAAGAAAAAAACAAACAACCCCATCAAAAAGTGGGCGAAGGACATGAACAGACACTTCTCAAAAGAAGACATTTATGCAGCCAAAAAAACACATGAAAAAATGCTCATCATCACTGGCCATCAGAGAAATGCAAATCAAAACCACAATGAGATACCATCTCACACCAGTTAGAATGGCAATCATTAAAAAGTCAGGAAACAACAGGTGCTGGAGAGGATGTGGAGAAATAGGAACACTTTTACACTGTTGGTGGGACTGTAAACTAGTTCAACCATTGTGGAAGTCAGTGTGGCGATTCCTCAGGGATCTAGAACTAGAAATACCATTTGACCCAGCCATCCCATTACTGGGTATATACCCAAAGGACTCTAAATCATGCTGCTATAAAGACACATGCACACGTATGTTTATTGCGGCATTGTTCACAATAGCAAAGACTTGGAACCAACCCAAATGTCCAACAATGATAGACTGGATTAAGAAAATGTGGCACATATACACCCCGGAATACTATGCAGCCATAAAAAATGATGAGTTCATGTCCTCTGTAGGGACATGGATGAAATTGGAAATCATCATTCTCAGTAAACTATCGCAAGAACAAAAAGCCAAACACCGCATATTCTCACTCATAGGTGGGAATTGAACAATGAGATCACATGGACACAGGAAGGGGAATATCACACTCTGGGGACTGTGGTGGGGTGGGGGGAGGGGGGAGGGATAGCACTGGGAGATATACCTAATGCTAGATGACGAGTTAGTGGGTGCAGCGCACCAGCATGGCACATGTATACATATGTAACTAACCTGCACAATGTGCACATGTACCCTAAAACTTAAAGTATAATTAAAAAAAAAAAAAAGCAAAAAATAAATAAATAAAAAATTAATAAATAAATAAATAAATCCTGGGAATTTCCTTTCTTTCTAATCACTGCCTAAACTGGTATGTTAAATATCTCCTCTGTTGAGATTAAGGTTCTTGAATCTTGGATAGATTCCATAACTATCTGAACACTTTTAATTAATAAATGCCTGTTTTTAGTGTAAAATGCTAATCTCATGTACTAATTAAGGTTTTCCCTCCAGCAAAGCTTCTATGCCTGTGGCTCAGAGGAGAAGAACTGGGCAGAGAAGTCTGCTTTTTACAATTCCTTTCCCTCCCCAACACTGGACTGGGACTGGGGCCTTGGTAGTCTGCTCTGGGACCTCTGCTCTTGCTTTTTCTAGGCTTCTACTTCTTTCTTTTGTCTCCAGCTTAATTAGGTATAATTGACATGTAAAAGTTGTATATATTTTAAAGTGTACAATGTGATGTTTTGCTATACATATACATTGTGAAATGATTGCTGCAGTCAGCTAATTAACATATCCATATACTTAAGATCTACTCTCTTAGCACATGTCAAGTATACAATACAGTATTAATAACTATGGTCAAGTAAAAAAAAAAAAAGAAAAAAAATAACTGCAGTCACCATGCTGTACCTAGGTCTGCAAAATCTAGCCATCTTATAACTGTAATTTTGTACCCTGTGATCAGCATCTCCCCATTTCTCCCACTCCCTGACTCCTGGCAACCACCCTTCTATTCTCTGCTTCTATGAGTTCAACTGTTTTAGATTCCACATATAAGTGATATCCTGCAGTATTTGTCTTTCTGTGTCTGGCTTATTTAACTTAGCATAATATTGTCCAGGTTCCTCCATCTTATCACAACTGGCAGGATTTCCTTCCTTTTCAAGGCTGAATAATATTCTACTACTACTACTAGACACACAAACACACACACACATACATATGTGTGTGTGACACCATAATTTCTTTATCCATTCGTCTGTCAATGGAAACAGTTTGTTTCTGTATCATGGCTATTGTGATTAATGCTGTAATGTACATGGGAGTGCAGATATCTCTTTGAATTAGTTATTTTATTTCTGGACTTTCTGTGCTGCTTCATTTGTCTATGCGTCCATTCTTATGCCAGTTCCATACTGTTTTGCTTAATATAGCTTTGAAGTATAACTTAAAATCAGGAAATTTGATGCCCCAGCTTTGTTCTTTTTGCTCAAAAATGCTTTCACTGTTTGGGGTTTTTCATAGTTCCACATGAATTTTAGAATTGCTTTTTTTATTTGTGTGAAAAATACCATTGGAATTTTGGTAGGAATTATATTGAATCTATAAATCATCTTAGGTAGTATGAAGATCTTAACAATATTGATTCTTTCAATCCACAAACACAGGATATCTTTCTATGTGGTTTTTTCTCTGCTTCAGTATCTTTTCTCAATGTCTTATAGTTTTTATTGTACAGATCTTTCATCTCCTTGACTTATTTTCCCCGTAAGTATTTTATCCTTTTTGATGCAATTACAAATAAAGTTGGCCTTTTAATTTTTTTTCTTGGATAGTTTGTTGTTAATGTATACAAATTCAACTTTTTTTTTTTTTTTTTTTTTTTGAGATGGCATCTCACTCTGTCACCTAGGCTGGAGTGCAGTGGTCCAATCTCAGCTCACTGCAACCTCCACCTCCCAGGTTCAAGCAGTTCTCCTGCCCCAGCCTCCCAAGTAGCTGGGACTACAGGTGTGTGCCACCATGCCTGGCTAATTTTTGTATTTTTAGTAGAGATAAAGTTTCACCATGTGGGCCAGGCTGGTCTCAAACTCCTGACCTCAGGTGATCCACCCACCTCAGCCTCCCAAGGTGCTGGGATTACAGACGTGAGCCACCACGCCCAGCCTCAACTGATTTTTGTGTATTGATTTTGTATACTGAAACGGAATTTGCTTATTAGTCCTAATAGTATTCTTTACAGTTTTCTCTGTATAGGAACATATCATCTGCAAACAGACAATTTTGTACTTCCTGCCAAATTTGGATATCTTTTATTGTTTTGCCTTGTCTAACTGCTCTGGCTAGAATTTGCAGCATTAACGTAGAATAAATCAATAGGGAAAGTGTAGTTAAAGTCCAATGTTTTCACACTGATTTTGGTCTGGATGATCAATCTTGCTGTAAGTGAGATACTAAAGTCCTCTATTATCATTGTATTGCTGTCAAGTTCTCCCTTTATACCTATTAATATTTGCATTATATATTAGGTACTCTATTGTTGGGTGCATATATATTTATAATTGTATATCATTTTAATGAATTGACTTTCTTTTTCTCTCTTTGCAGTTTTTGAAGTGAAAGTCTATTTTGCCTAAGTCTAGCTACTCCTGCTCTTTTTGAGTTTCCATTTGCATGGAATATTTTTTACATCCTTTTGCTTTCAATCTGTGTGTGTCCTTAAAGCTAAATGAGCTTATTTTAGGCAGCATATAGGTGGGTCTTCTTCTTCAAAAAAAAAAATCCATTATTCATTCAGCCATTCTATGTCTTTTGATTGGAGAATTTCACTAATTTACATTCCTTATCATTATTAATATAGTAGGACTTATTATTGCCATTTTGTTAATTATTTTCTGACTATTTTGTAGATTCTTTGTTTCTTTGTTCTTTTCTTGGCTGTCTTCCTTTGTGATTTGATGATTTTTTGTAGTGATGTGTTTTGACTTCTTTATCTTTTGTATATCTATTATCGGTTTTTGCTTTCTGATTACTATGAGACTTATATGTGACATCTGACAGTTATAACAGTCTGTTTTAAGCTGATAACAACTGAGTTTTGATAGCATATAAAAATTATGCTTTTAGTCTCCTCCTCCATTTTGTTTTTGATGTCAAAAATTTACATCTTTTCACACTGTGTATCTATTAAAAATTATTGTAGCTATATTTTAATAGTTTTGTCTTTTAACCTTTAGACTACAAATGTAAGTGATGTATACATCACCATTACTGTATTAGAATATTCTGAATTTGTCTATATACTTACATTTATTAGTGAGTTTTGTGCTTTCATATGTTTTTATGTTAATGATTTGCATCATTTCACTTCAGCTTGAAGGATTCCCTTTAGTATTTCTTGTAAGGAAGATCTAGGGATAATGAGCTCACTCAGCTTTTGTTTGTCTGGGCAAGTCTTTATCCTTCATTTATAAAGAAAATTTTGCCATATAAGTATTCTTGGCTGACAGTTTTTTTTTTTCTTTCAGTGCATTGAAAATAATATTTCACTCTCTCCTGGCCTGTGAGGGTTTAGCTTAGAAGTACGCTGATAGCCTCATAGTGGTACACTTGCATGTGAGAACTTCTCTTGCTGTCTTCAAGATTCTCTCTCTGTCTCTGATTTTTGACAGTTTGATTATAATGTGTCTTTCTGAAGTCTTCTTTGGGTTGAACCTGATTGGAGACTTTTGAGTTTCATGTATATATCTTTCCTCAGATTTGAAAAGTTTTCAGCCATTATTTCTTGAAATAAGCTTCTGTACATTTCTCTCCTCTCCTAGTTCTGAAAATTCTATGATGTGAAAGTTAGCACTTTTTATGGTGTCCTATAAAGAATTTATTTATTGCTTTTCATTCTCTTTTTTTCCTTTTCTGACTGGATATTTTTAAATGCTCTATCATTGAGTTCACAGATTCTTTCCTCTGTTTACATTCTCTATTATATTTTTCATTTCATTCATCGTATTTTTCAACTCCAGAATTATGTTTAGTTCTTTTTTATTACAGTCATATGCCACATAACAACATTTCAGTCAATGATGAATTGTTTTCAAAATGGTGGTCTCATAAGATTATAATGGAGCTGCCCTATACTAGTGTACCATTTTAAATATTTTAAACCATATTTTTACTGCATCTTTTCTATGTTTAGACACACAATTTCCTACCATTGTGTTACAGATACCTACAGTATTTAGTAGCTTAGTAGCAATAGGCTATACCATATAACCTAGTTGTGTAGTAGGCTATACTATCTAGATTTGTGTAAGTATATTCTATGATGTCTGCACAATGACCAAATCATCTAATGACACATTTCTCAGAATGTATCCCTGTCATTAAGACTATACATTCATTCATTCATACATACATACATTACATTCATGATGATATTTCTCTCTATTGAACTTCTCCTTCTGTTTATGTATTGTTTTCCTAATATCATTCCCATCTGTTCACGTATTATTTTCCTAATGTCATTAAGTTGTCTATTAGAGTTTTCTTGTAGCTCACTAAGCTTCCTTAAAACAAATATTTTTGAATTGTTTGTTAGGCAATTTGTAGGTATGCATTTCTTTGTGGTTGGTTACTAGAAAATTATTCTTCCTTTGGTAGTTACATATATCCTTGGTTTTTCATGGTTATTCTTGCCTTACATAGATATCTATGAATTTAATGGAGTTTTCACGTCTTCCAGACTTTATGGGCTAGTTTCAGTGGGAAAAGACCTTCACCTCTAGGTTGGTGTGAAGATGCTAGATGGATAGGGTGCAACAGTTCTGGCACCAGTGAGGGTGCAGAGGCATAGTCTTCATGTGATTCTGTCAGCTGAGCTGGCATCAGCAGAGATTACAGGAGTCCTTGGTGATCACGACTGAGGATATCCACAGTGGTGGTGAAGGCAGTTGGAATCTTTGGTGACAAAGGCTACTGAGATTCTTTTGATCTCTACTTTTCCCACAAGGGAATTCATGACCAAGGAGATCCCTCATGGTGCCAAGTCCGACTTGCACATATGCTCATAGTGAGGGTGGCACTGGTGTCTGATATGGACCTTCATGGAGTAGCCACAGTGTCAGGGGCTGGAGCTTGTGTACATGTGGAGTGACAGTGGCTCTGGGGTTTGCAGCATGGTCATGTGCAGGTCTACTGCTGCTCCAGGGATCAGGGCACAGATACACCTGCTGTAGTGATGGCTCTAGTATCTACAGTGCTGGTACTCTTGGAGCAGCCACAGAGGCAGGGTCTGGGAGAGGTGTGTGCAGAGTGACATTGACTATGGGGTCCCAAGGTGTGGGCAGTGGCTTCCATGTCTGAGGTATAGACCCTCTCAGGTTGCAGAGCCATGGTCCAGAGCACAGATGCACACAGAGTGGCCTCAGCTATGAGGCCAAGGGAGAGGCTAGTTTGCAGCAGTAGTGGCTCCAGTGTCTGGGGAAAAGGAACATGTGGTGTGACTACAGAGCAAGGATCTGGAGGGTAAGTATGCTGGGGTGGCCACAGCTTAAGGATCTTCAGTACGCACATGATTGAGAAAGGCAGCATATAGGCATAACAGTGACTCCTTCTTAGGGAATGTAGCGAGCTCAGCAGCATCTCCCTATCTGGAGGTTACTTTAGTCGGGAAAGCTACTGGTGTCCTCTGCCAAGCAGGTTACAGGGGACAAGGGTAGCATCCATTACCTGACTGATACTGATAGCCCCCATTCTTATTCTTTGAACCTAGCCATCTCCAGATGTCTCAAGTATGCCAGTCTCTCCAGCTATCCCTTCTGTGCAGTTATTCTCCAGTTTTTGCTCCACTGTTTTGCTGCTGGTTTGTAATTGAAACCTGGATCCCTTCCAAGGCTATTTTTGTTTGTGAATAGTTGTCTGTTTTTTTCTGGAGGGATAAAAGCTGGCATCTCCTTCTCTCCTATCTTGCTGATATCACTCTCTTAGGCTTCAACTTCTCTGTTATGAAGTAGCAAAGTGAGGATACATGAAAGGGACAGGGCTATCTTACTTACCTGGCAGCTGCTGCAATCCACTTTAGAATTATAGATGCTTCCCTGGATAACAGTGTCACAGCCAATGCTGCTAGTGTGGCAGATGGCCCAGTGTTGTTCACCTGGAGGACACACATGCGCACTTTCCTAAAATGCATAAGACACATCCCTGCTAAACAATTTCCTGCCCTAGGAAATGCAACCAGGCTTCTTCATCCTTTATCTTCCTTAACTCTGTGCCAGCTGACATGCTTCATATCCCCTGCTGCTGTGGTCCCCTCCTCTAATAGGCCATCCTTAGGACAAGAGCAAGGCCACTTTAGTCTAGTTGCTGCCAGTCCGAGTACAACGTAAATGTATTCGGCCAGGGAAATGAGCAGGGCTCTGTCACTTAGCCCATAAAAAAAAAAAAAAACTTCAATCCTGATACTTGTCTGACCAAACAGGGGGAGCACAGGCTACCCATGCTCTCCTTCCAGTCACTTCTCTTCAAATACTTTTGCTTCTTTTCAGGTAGGTGCAAGGATGATTGACAAATTCATTTCCTGAGGAGATATGCTGAGCTCCACTTCTTACATACATCTTCATCATCTATGAAGTATTCTCTTGGAGCATCTTTTTCACTTCTCCCAAGAGGAAAAGAGAGAAAAGAGGCAGTCTCCTCCACAAAAGAATAAAATATGGTAGAAGACAGAGCAAAATGTATTGGCAAGGAGAAAAAACAGGTTATCCAAAATGCAGCAACATGTCTCTCTTTGGCAAAAAAAGATTTCCCTACAAAGAAAGAAATTATAAAATCCTCTCCTCTAGTCTCTCCTGCCATAGCCCCTTGGCTTTCTATCTATGCCCTTGTGTATTTGTGTGCCTGTGCTTCAAATCTGTATGAATCAGGGCTCTCCAGAGGGACAGAACCAATAAAATACACACACACACACACACACACACACACATAAAGAGAGAGAGAGAGAGGTGTGTGTGTCTGAGTTATCAGGGAGAACTGGCTAACCTGATTACAATGATGAAGTTTCACAATAGGCTGTCTGCAAGCTGGGGGATGAGAAAAAAAAAAAAAAAACCATAGTGTGGCTCTGTCCAAGTTTGAAAGCCTCAAAACCAGGTAAGCTGACAGTGCAGTCCCCAGTCTGAGGCCAAAAGTCTGAGATCCCCCAGGAGGTGACTGGGGCAAGTCCCAGAATCCAAAGGCCAAAGATCCTGGAGTCCGATGTCCAGGGGCAGGAGGAGAAAAGACATCTCACTCCGGAAGAGATAGTGGAAAAGGAAGCTAAGCAAGCCAAATATCCCCCTTCTTTTATTTGCTTTGTTCTAGCTCACTGGCCCAATTGGATAGTGCCTGCTCCCAGTCTGCTGACTCACATGCCAATCTCCTCTGTAAACACCCTCACAGACACACCCAGAAACAATGCATCACCAGCCATCTAGACATCCCTCAATCTAGTCACAATGACACCTAACATTAACCATCACATTCACATTTGAATAAAAATGTCCCCGCATTCTGGTGATAAGGCAATCCCCTACACAAATTCAGGATTTCCTCCAATTCATAGTATTTTGGCAACTTCACAGATGTAAAAGAGACCTTGCTATAGTTCAGCAATAGAAGAAGAGAAACACTGCCTAATACTTGCTAGTCCTAAATGGAAAAGCCAGGTGTGTGATACAGGGAAGCAACACAAAAGGAGTAGGACACTGAGTGCAGACTTCAGCGTGGTAAATAGGTTCCTGACATGTCAGGCAGTTCCTAATGGGGTTTCAGTTGAAGGAATTTAATAGGCTTTAAGATGTCAAAACTTGAGTGCCCACAGAATATGAGACAGTGGCATAATGTAAAGAATATTAGAACTGAAGACATAGAGGGTATGAATCTCCGCTCTATGATTTACTCATTTTCAACTAAAGTAAACCAATTGAACTGAGTTTCTTCATTGACAAAATGATATCTACACCACAGAATTAACACCAGTATTTGATGAGATTACAAAATAAAGTACCCAATAAAGTGGCCAGGACCACCATGTGTGGGCACATATGTGTGTGTAGTCTGAGTACTGCACAAATGTGTCTGGCCAAGGGGATGAGCACGGCCTGAAAACCCACTCAAGTTCTGCTAGTTAAGGTCATTGGCCCAGCACAGGGTTACAGTGGACCAGAGGATGGGCCCACTGGTTACACAAACCCACCAAGACTTGCACCCAAGGGACACTATCTGCCACAGTTGGCATCTCTTTCTAATTTCCATAATACCTGCAGTGCTCCAGTAGCCACTCAATGAATGAATAAATGGAATATAATGTCTCATTGCCGGGATCTGGCTTAGGCTGATCTTTCTATAGATGGTAGCTTCTAATAAATCCAGATCAGATTCCAAAAGAATGAACTGCACAACTCAAGGACCATCTGACAATTAGACCAGTGTTTCTCAAAATATGTCATTGTGCCACTGTAACACATGACATGGATTTTGTAACTATGATACTAAATCATAAGCAATAAAAGAAAAAAATAAATATTTGAACCTCAACAAAATAAAAAACTTTTGTGCTTCAAAGGACATCTTCAAGAAAGTGGAAAGACAATCCATAGAATGGAAGAACAATTTTGAAAATTACATATCTGATAAAGATTTGTATCCAGAATATATAAGGAACTCTACAATTGAATAATGAAAAGATAAATAATCACATTTTTAAATGGGCAAAAAATTTGAAAAGACATTTTCCCAAAAAGATATACAAATGACTACTAAACACATGAAAAGTTGCTCAATATCACTAGCTATTGGGGAAATGCAATTCAAAACCATAATGAGGCACAACTTCACAGCCACTAGGATGGCTAAAATCAAAAGTCAGATGATAACAAGCGTTGTTGAGAATGTGGAGAAATCAGAGTCTTCACGCACTTTTGGTAGCAATGTAAAATGATGGAGCCACTTTGGAAAACAATCCAGGAATTCCTTAAAGAGTTAACCATAGAGTTATCACAGTGCAGTTTTCACAGAGTGCAGACCTCGTGCCTTGTACATTGCAACCCCGAGTACAGTCCTGTTTCTCAGACGAGGACAGGAAGTCCCAAGAAGATTAGACCACACATTTAGTAAATGCTGGATCCAAGGTCCTACAAGGATTATAGAACCCAAAAAGAAAAATATACTGGTTTCATTATAAAATGAAATACAATAACATCTCAACCTTCTTAGGCAAAAGAATGCCTTAAGTATGACAATTAATCTTTATTAGAAATGAAATTAGAAATTTGAACAAAAATAGAATTGGAGGCAATTCTCATGCGAAACATTGTTCAACATGCCCAGAGTAACAGGATATTGCCTTAAACCTAATAGCCAAAGCAAAAGGCTGTGCACAGGGGTGGTTATAAAGCCCTTAAGTGCGGGTCTATCATTTGCATGCATTAAGATGGAAATTGAGCATCCATATTTTACTTGCATGTGCCAGTAAAGTGATTGCACTTCCCAAGATCCCTTTGTACTCATAATTACTTAATTTGTGAACCAAATGTGTGGTTTAAGGATGGAAATAGATACATAGTAACTCCATTTGGGAGGTCCAATTTTGACAGAAATGACTGAAGACTTTTTTTATGAAGAAAGATTAACCATAGGATTCAAATTTAGTTTACTTAAATCACGTGATATTTGGAGATCCATTTATTTGAAAGGTCAATCTTTATTTTCTGCCCTTAAAATTAGACTTTAATTGGGAGATGCAGTTAAGTGAGTACTGACATAATTAATTTGTAGCTTAAGTACACACGTACAAAGTATAGTTTTTATCCATAGGCTATATCATATGAACCCTGCAACCTTAAGAAAAAATAGCATCAAAATTTTATATTTAAAGAATTATAACAAAGTCCTGAATTTATCTTCCAGCTGCTCTAAAACACATGCACATAATACTAGCAATGGTGAAATTAGATTTTGCCTCCACAGACCTAAGCAATACTTTTCTAAAAACACACTGGGATTCATAGTTTAATTTACAAAAGTTGTTTCCTACCTTGAAAAGTCAAATTCTTTTCCCTTTGTGCAGGGAAGTTCCATAGGAAATAGAATAGTTATAAAACATGCATTTTTCATTGGTTAAATTTTCCTACCCATATCTAATGCTGTATTACTGCAAACAGAACCCTACTATATTACTATATCATATGTTGTGATTAGTAGAGGTGCTTTCAACTACTATTGCTTGAACATTAGCTTTGCATTTGAAGGCTGAGATGGTCTCTAGTTCTTCCTAGGGCTAGAAGGGAAGCAGGAAGACTCGTATCCTAAGGCAATATGGGGCTAGGCTCACTTGGCTGCTAGTGGCTGGCATGGGGTAGTACCATTAGCCATCTTAAAATAATGATTTCAGAATGATTTTAACAAAAAATGCTGGGTATGGTTACATTTTAAAGTTTGTAGTTGTAGTTTTCAAATTTCAAATAGGGTAACTATCATTAGCTTTTTAAAAATATGTTCTAGTGGTGTAAATACACAAGGTTGGCATTAATATCTGCCTTCTATTCTAGTGACACATCTAATTGTCACATTATCTCCCTGTTATCAAAACCAAAATATTTTATTTACAGGGAAGTGTTTGATCAAAAGATACAAAAGATGCTAAATTCTCACATGAGCTGTTTAAATGTCTCCCATTCACTCTCCAATATGATTATGATAGTAATTAAAACAATAATGACAATAATAAAAATAATTGTACTAATAGCCACCAATCATTGAGCACCTATTACAGGCCAAGCACAATCTTCATAATATTGAAAAAAATAGATATTATTATTTTAGGTTTATAGAAGAGAAACTTAAGCTCAGAGAAGATGGAAACTGTCTCAAGCAGCTAATACAGGATTGATTCCTGCTATTTCCATGTAGCATATACCATATACATCTATATATAGTCATACATTTCCATGATTTTTGGAGGAGATAAAAGAAAGAGGTTGGGGAGCAGGAAGGGCAGGAGTGAGATGACAACAAGTAAGTTTATATATATTTTGTGAAAGCATGATAATGTGGATTTATTGTGATATATTTTGTTCTTCTCAGACCTGAGATGCACTCTGGTTCAAGTATTACTTACTCTGTGAGAAAGTTGCACCTGAATTTCCAAAGAGTAAGTATATTGTAACTTTCCCAGAGAATTGTTACTGTTTCTATAGGGTGCCACTTATGTATTTTTTCTTCTTTGCTAAACTGAAGCTGAACAGAACACAGACCGCTCTGCTCCCAGCCCTCTTTCAAAAGGGAGGGAGAGTGTGTGACAAAATTACTTATCACATTTAAGTGGCTTCAGACTTAGTTAAGTGTTCTGTAAGTCCTTACCATCCCGGACATTCTGATAAACTGTTCTGGGGACATAGTATTTTGATTTTGATAATTTGGCTGCTACATCATTCAGTTTTACGCAAGAACATGGAAAAATCAATTGATGTTTTTGTTCCATTGCTCTTCCTCAATAAAATGCTTCTTTTCACCATTTTTTTTTCCTTTTTCTCCATCATGCTTTAAAGTAACACAACACGATAGCTTCAGCCTTGGTATTAGTCCTCACAGATAGAAATGTTCTTGAAATAAGCTCAGTAGAACTTTTTGTAATAACTTTACCCATGTTTCCAGACTCCTATCAGTCCCTGAGGTAGTCATAATAAACATGAACTGAAACTCCAAAATCTTCAGGAAATTCTAGCCTTTACAAAAAAGAAAACTATCTTTGGAGGTTTCTACAAAGTTAATGCAAAGTTTACAAATTGAGTCAATAATCTATAAAAGTAAAGCCAGGGATTGCCTAAGAAGATAACTAAGAGACCTCTGTTTATTTGTTACTAAAAAGTATAGACCTAACATTTATCAACAAAAGTAACACAGTGATTTTACAAGAATAGGATTCCTTAAGGGAAAAATGAGCATTAAAAGTTTTCATATTTCAAGTGCTCCATTTTCTTAAAGAGAAAGGGATATGGAAAAGTAGCTTTATGACATTTTCATACAAGTATAAAGTGTGTAAAGCATGTTTCATAAGCATTTATTAAAATAGCTTTGAGGTGGTCTTGTTATCATGTAAAATTTAGCTTGCCACAAAAGTTTAGTCCAGATCCAAATTATTTTCATTGTACCAATACACCACTTAGAGATACCGAGCACTTAGAGTCCTAGGTCACACATTGTGACCTGGAGTGTGGATTGCAGCTAAACTTCTCAAGTTCATCTACTTTTGTTATCTCATGGCCACAAAGCACAATTAATTTTATGTTCAAATACTTCTGGAAATTGTAATAGCCTAATGAACTCCCAAAGAACCCTTTTCATTTTCCAGAAATTTCCAACTCAATCATTGATGATTCTTCTTATAACACTTTGGCCTAAAAAGTACATATCCAGTAAAAAGTACATATCCAGTGATTTCTCTCTGTCTCTGAAAACATTTTGCTTCTTGAGATCATCCTGCATGCCTCTGTGTATGTTGCTTCTAAGACCTGTAAACTTCTTTGTCTGCTTCCTACCTTTGTCTATCTAGAAAAAAAAGCTGGCCAAAATTTCAAGCCTTGGATTAAGTCTGTACTACTCAATGACATTTTTCTGAAGGCTTCCAGAAGAATTATTTACTGTAATTTGTATGCACTTCATTTATTACATTTATCCCACTGGGCTAAAATTTACAGAATACACGAGACTTTAAAAGCAAGGACCAGGAGGGATTTGTTTTGTTTTGTTATAGTATTTGTATCCCAAGTTTCTGGAGCAGTGCTTGACACACAAATATCCTGAAAAATTGGTGAAAAAATGAATAGAGAGAAAGAACACATATGGTTTCTATTTCAGAGATACTTTGATTCCCTCTCAGCCCTGAAAATGAGGTTAAAATTGTTAGTGCACCTATTTTCTCCTTATTGAAAAATTATTCCTGGATATATAAGGGTTGAAATAGCAGCAGGCTGCCCAGGTTCAAAACATGGCTTTACCATTTTAGTAGCTGAATACACTTCGAAAAGTTACTTAATTTCACCCTTTCTCAAAAAAAGAAGTCCTCAGTCTACTCATTTGTCGAATAGGGATTGTAACACTACTTACCTCATAGAGTTGTTGTGAGAATTGATGGGTATAACATACACACAAGACTTTGCCCAAGGCCCAGCACAGGGTAACTGCTCTCATAAATAACCAATTATCAGGCTAGTGTCTACTGATCTGTTTTCATTTTTAAAAGCTGAGAAAAAAAACTCTGTGGCTTTTTTTAAAAAACAGCTTTATTGAGATATAAGTATTAATATGTAAATAATTATGATTGCTATATTATAATTTTTAATCATGATAAATAGGGATTCAGAGTTTTCTGGAGATAGATGGTGGTAATGATGGCACAATAATATGAGTGTACTTAATGCCACTCAACGGTACACTTAAAAAGCGTTAAAATGCAATGGTAATTTTATGATATGTATATTTTACCACAATTTAAATATACATACATATATACATATGTATATATTTATGTATTTAATTTTATTTATACATTTGTATATATACATATGTATATATTTATGTATTTAATTTAAATATACATATATATATATATATACACACACACACATATATATACATATACAAAATTTTTTTTTGAGACAGAATTTCGCTTTTGTCACCCAGGCTGGAGTACAGTGGTGTGGTGTAATCTTGGCTCACTGCAACCTCTGCCTTCTGGGTTCAAGCAATTCTCCTGCCTCAGCCTCTGAGTAGCTGGGATTACAGGTGTGCACCAGCATGCCTGGATAATTTTTGTATTTTTAGTAGAGACGGGGTTTTGCCATGTTGGCCAGGCTGGTCTCGAACTCCTGACCTCAGGTGATCCACCCGCCTCGGCCTTCCAAATTGCTGCAATTACAGGTGTGAGCCACCATTACTGGCTAAAAAATATTTTTAAGTGACATAGAAGAAACTTCACATATTAAAAGTGTACATTTTTGACAACTATTGACATATGTATGTACTCATGACACCATAACCACAGTAAAAATAATAAACATATCTATCTATTCATTGTGTCCCTTTGTAATCACTCCCTCCCAGCACCTCTGCCCCCACCGTCAGGCACCCACTGATCTTCTTTCTGTCACTTTAGATTAGTGTACATTTTCTAGAATTTTATATAAATGCAATCAGTCTGTACTCTTTTGCTCCTTTCTCTAAGATTTATCCATGCTATTATATCAACAGATCATTCCTTTTTACTGGTGTAGTATTCCATTGCATAGATGATATCACAGTGTGTTTATCCACTCACTTATTCATGGACATTTGGGTTATTTCCAGTTTTTTGGCCATTGCAAATAAAGATGCTATGAACATTTGTGTATGTCTTTCTACGGACATATGCTTTCATTCTCTTGAGTAAACAACTAGGAGTGCAATATCCAGGCCTTATGATAGATATATGTTTAACTGTTTAAGAAACTGGTAAACTTTTCCAAAGTCGTCTTGCTCTTTACAGAACTAACAGCAGAGCATGCAAGTTGGTTCCTCCACAACCTAGACAGTTGGCAACATGGCCTGAAAACTCTCTCTAGACAGTAAACTGGGACAATGATAAAGCTCACCTTGTTTATTTCCTGCCTCTCACTGTCATCCAGTGACATTTCTTACCTGACATCCAGTTACGTGAAAGCCATTGTTTAATATATTTTGTCCAGTTTTTTGGTTGTTTCTGGCAGGAAGACAGATCCAAGCCATTTTATTTCATCTTGATCAGAATTATGTCCTCATTCTTATGGTGTGAATAGTTTAATTTTTTACGAACACCAAGAAAGGTGTGATCATCAACAGAAATTGCAGTCATACGTCATGTTATCTTATATTTCAGTTTACAGTTGGCACC